>NC_000015.10:89623096-89774611 GCF_000001405.40 Homo sapiens
AATTTTTTATTGGGGAGTGTCTTTTCTGAGACATTATCTTTGCTGCTGCACCTTATATATCTGTGTATTCCATGCCCCCAACACACAGTGCCTGGCACATAGCAGGTGATCAGTAAGCACATGTTGAATGAGGGTGAGCAGCAGATGAGGTGGCTCCTGGAGGCTGCTTTAGGCAAAGATCAGAAATAGCTGCCTTATCTGAAAAGAAGGAAGAGCTAGAGAGTAGCTGCAGTGGTAGAATGATTCCATTAGAGGCAAAAAGCATGGTTTAGCAATATGTAGATTATTAAAATTATTTGTTCTAGGACAAACTAAACTTGGATAGTGTTTGGTCCTAGAAAAAGTAGACAAGTAAAATCTGAGTCATGTTTTGGAGAGGGAAACGGGTCACTATTTGAGATTTCCATCTTTAGATCATTCCTTTGGCTGACTATAAATCTCCCATTTGGTCTTAGAGATTACTAAAACACTTCAGAGATCATGAGTTATAATATTCAAGGACTGAAATAAGCATTTCTCTTTTCAGACTCCCAAGAAGAGTCACCAGAAATCTCTGAGCTTTTCTAAAACTACACCAAGAAGGATCTCTCATACACCACAAACTCCGTTGTATACTCCAGAAAGGCTGCAGAAGTCCCCTGCAAAAATGACCCCTACAAAGCAGGCAGCTTTTAAGGAGTCCTTAAAAGACTCCTCCTCACCCGGCCATGACTCACCATTGGATTCAAAAATCACTCCTCAAAAACGACATACCCAGGCAGGAGAAGGTACCTCTCTTGAAACGAAGACACCAAGAACTCCTAAGAGGCAAGGTACTCAGCCGCCTGGGTTTTTGCCAAACTGTACTTGGCCACATTCAGTGAATTCCAGTCCAGAAAGCCCCTCCTGTCCAGCCCCTCCAACTTCATCGACTGCCCAGCCCAGGAGAGAGTGTCTCACTCCCATCAGAGACCCTCTCAGAACACCTCCGAGAGCAGCAGCCTTCATGGGCACGCCTCAGAATCAAACACACCAACAGCCCCATGTCCTCAGAGCTGCTCGGGCAGAGGAACCAGCCCAGAAACTAAAGGATAAAGCTATCAAAACTCCAAAAAGACCAGGGAATTCAACTGTGACTTCTTCCCCACCTGTTACGCCAAAGAAACTGTTTACCTCTCCTTTATGTGATGTCTCCAAGAAGAGTCCATTTAGGAAATCTAAAATAGAGTGTCCTTCCCCAGGAGAACTGGATCAGAAAGAGCCCCAGATGTCACCCAGCGTAGCTGCATCTCTCTCCTGCCCTGTTCCCTCAACTCCCCCTGAACTCTCACAGAGAGCTACATTGGACACCGTCCCTCCTCCACCCCCTTCTAAAGTTGGGAAACGGTGTAGAAAGACCTCTGATCCCAGAAGGAGCATCGTGGAGTGTCAGCCTGATGCCTCCGCTACTCCTGGGGTTGGCACAGCTGACAGCCCAGCTGCCCCCACAGACTCTAGAGATGACCAGAAGGGACTGAGCCTCTCTCCTCAGTCTCCTCCTGAAAGACGGGGCTACCCAGGCCCTGGTCTCAGGAGTGATTGGCATGCATCCTCTCCTCTGCTCATTACAAGTGACACAGAGCATGTCACTCTCCTCAGTGAAGCCGAACACCATGGCATTGGTGACTTGAAAAGTAACGTCTTATCAGTGGAAGAGGGTGAGGGGCTAAGGACAGCAGATGCTGAGAAGTCTTCTCTGTCTCACCCTGGGATTCCCCCATCTCCTCCTTCCTGTGGGCCTGGCTCTCCTCTGATGCCTTCCCGTGACGTGCACTGTACCACAGATGGGAGACAGTGCCAGGCTTCGGCACAACTAGACAACCTGCCAGCATCAGCTTGGCATTCCACAGACTCTGCCAGCCCACAGACCTATGAGGTTGAGCTGGAGATGCAAGCTTCTGGCCTTCCCAAACTTCGAATTAAGAAGATAGACCCCAGCTCTTCATTAGAGGCTGAGCCCCTCAGCAAGGAGGAGAGCTCTCTGGGAGAAGAGAGCTTCCTCCCTGCTCTCAGCATGCCCAGGGCCAGCAGGTCCTTAAGCAAACCTGAACCCACCTATGTGTCACCCCCCTGCCCCCGCCTCTCCCACAGCACACCTGGCAAGAGCAGGGGGCAAACCTACATCTGCCAGGCCTGTACCCCCACCCACGGCCCTTCTAGTACCCCCTCTCCATTTCAAACAGATGGGGTTCCTTGGACACCATCCCCCAAGCACAGTGGGAAGACAACTCCAGACATAATTAAAGACTGGCCCAGGAGGAAGAGGGCGGTGGGCTGTGGCGCCGGCTCCTCTTCCGGGAGGGGCGAGGTCGGTGCAGACCTTCCTGGGAGCCTGTCACTGCTTGAGTCAGAGGGCAAGGACCACGGCCTTGAACTCAGCATCCACAGGACGCCCATCTTGGAGGATTTTGAGCTCGAGGGAGTGTGCCAGCTCCCAGACCAGTCGCCTCCCAGGAACAGCATGCCTAAGGCCGAGGAAGCCTCTTCCTGGGGACAGTTTGGGTTGAGTTCCAGGAAGAGAGTCCTGTTGGCCAAGGAAGAAGCTGACCGTGGAGCCAAAAGGATCTGTGACCTGAGAGAAGATTCAGAAGTTAGTAAGAGTAAAGAGGGGTCTCCAAGTTGGAGTGCATGGCAGCTACCCTCCACGGGAGACGAAGAGGTGTTTGTTTCCGGTGAGTTCGTTTTTGAAACCCAGTTTCCTCATGGTTTCTTTTGGTCAGAGTGCTTGACAAGGAGGCACTTGGGAGTTGCTTCTTGGGAGGCCTGGGCTTCCCGGTTGGGGGTCTGGGGACGCTGCTCTTACTATGTGGGATCTCTTTAGGCTCCACCCCACCTCCCAGCTGTGCCGTGCGGAGCTGCCTCTCTGCCAGTGCCCTCCAGGCTCTGACCCAGTCTCCGCTGCTGTTCCAGGGGAAAACACCTTCCTCTCAGAGCAAAGACCCCAGAGGTAATGTTTGTTGAAGGTCTAGGACCCTTTCCTGTGACAGACTGTCTGAATTCACCAGGGTTGCCAGGCAGCTCGATTCTAGAGGAGCCCCAGGGAGTGCCAAGTGTGGGATAGGTGACTTCGCGCCTACAGCGTCATGTGTGCCCTTCCCAGAGAAACTCCACATTAGAACTTGTGTGCATGTGAACAGAAGCCCCTCAAAATCCTGCTAAAATTCCTCGGTCCTCCTGAAAATGTTGACAGTCGTGGGCTTGCCGCAACATGCTGCTCATCTGCAGTCTAAGAATCTGAACAGGAAGGCGTTCTGAGCAGCACGAGTGATAGGCCTGTTTAGAGCTAGTTCCCCACAGCGGGTTTATCCGCATGTTCTGTATATTCGGTGGGACACAGTACTGACTGTAGTTATAATCAGCCTGCAGGCTCTAGGATTCCCCTTCCCCTTCCAAATCCTATTCCCAAAAGACAAGGATTTGGCCTGTTAACTGCCCTGGTTAGCAATGTTGCCTTCTGCTGCTAGAATCAAAGGGGGAGTGCAGGAGGAGGGGGCCTTTGGTGGTTCAGTTCCCTCAAGACCATGATATAAATCATGCAAAACAGCATAACCCCAGAGATCTGAGACCTAGAAAGAATACAGGATATTAACCTGAGGGAATTCAAACCACAGGTACTTTGCATTTTCAGAGCTGCTTCTTGCTGCCAGCACGGTGCATAGCTGTTAAGGGCAGGGTCCTTCTAAAAAGTGTAGGTACCATTTCTGTAGGATAAGCGAACCTCCAAGCAGTGCTGATTTTCTTAAAGTCTGTTTTTGTGTGTAACCCTCTGCAATTTAAGCCAATTTTTTTCAGTTCGGTCCTCTGTGACTCCTGCATGCTAAGCCTTTCTACCTTCTTCTAGATGAGGATGTGGATGTTCTTCCCTCCACTGTAGAAGACTCTCCTTTCAGTCGCGCTTTCTCCAGGAGGCGCCCCATCAGCAGAACTTATACACGGAAGAAGCTCATGGGAACCTGGCTGGAGGACTTATAGCCACAAACATTACTGAGCCCAAAAGATCAAGGAGTCAGCCAGGACCCTGTGGACATAAAGAAGTTGGATGCCTGGTCCCAAGCCTCTTTTGCCATGGTCAGTGTTCAGATTGCCATTAGAATGCCTTAGGGTTTTCTAATTCCCCTTATGGATCCAATCCATCTCCTGGCCCTGCCCCTTGTTGGGGAAGTTGCAGGAGGAGAGGTGGATGGCAATGTGATTGGTGCTATAACTCAGGCAGCCTGGGAGTCAGGAACCCAGACAAGGAATCCCATTCCAGCCTCACCCCAACCATGACCTTGGCAAGTCAGGGGGCCACTCTGCCTCATTTATGCAAATGGAGAAAGGCGCCCTCCCTGGGGTCCCTTGAGCTGCTGTAAGGCTGGGCTGCTGCGACACAGGCAGCGCTTTGTAAACTGTGAAGCCATATACGTGAAACTGAAGAGTGCATTGGGCAGTGGAAGCTATTTTTTGCCTTCCCTGTGTAACAGTAAAATCATCTCTAGTGACTGAGCACTCAGTACATTTTTGTTTAATGTTGGGCCTGAGGTTAACTGTGACCATGGTCCAGCTTGAGTGGCTTCTGGAGCAGCCACATTTTCAAGGACTGTCCAAGAGCCAGCCAGTTCAGGGCTCAGGCCTCACCCATTGCCCACTCCTGGGGAGACCATCACCTGGCTCATCGTTTCCACCAAGAGTGCCCCACAGGAGTGCCCCACAGACCCGCTGGACCAGCCTGCTGCGGGTCCTGGCCAGGGGTCTGGCTAACGGTGAGGGCTGACTCTGAACTGTCTCTCAGTCTCCAGAAAGTGTTCAAGCCTGTTGTGTTCCCAAATCTGATTCCTCCTATTGTCTTGTAAATCAAACTCTAAGTGAAAACTTCCCATTTGTCCCTTCAAAGATTTTTTTTTATTAAATGGTTTTTTAAGATCCTAAAGTCTCCCAGTTTCCCCTATATACATAAGACCATTTAAACCACAACCTGGTTACCACCGACCCTTTCGTGATGATTCTTGGCCAAACCCCTGAACTACAAGCACATCCATTTACGCCTGAAACCAGAATTGTCCTGAGATTCGAGCAAGACACAAGGCGGCAATTGGGTACCACAGCTTCATGGAAGTAAGTGGTGGGAATTTGCATATTATTTTGTTAAATGAGGGTCCAGTTCTTTTGGGCCATGGCCCAAATTTGTTGATCCCAGTGAGGGTACAGATGAGGGCCTGGATTTAGGGTGTGCGGTAAGGACTGCCCTTCACAGAAGCAAAACAGGCAGCTGCCCCTTTCAGCAGGCTCGGAGTCTCCCTCCAAGGCAGGGTCTGCCCCGAGGGCTTACAGGGGGTTTTTCCGGACATCAATCATCCCCGGGCTGGCTCGTCGCAGTTCCCGCCGGGGCTTGGACAAAGGCCCAAAGTTCCAGGGCAGGCCTGCCTCACCCACAGGAAGCACCCGCCCCACCAGGGGCTCAGCCGCCTCCCGCTGCCTCAGTTCCTCGGGGGACCCCTGCTCCTCACCACACAGGCTCGAGCGTTTCCAGGTCAAGGGTAACGGAGCGTGGACCAAGTCCCGCGTCTCCTCCCGGGTGCGGGGGGCCCCCTCAGTGAGGGGGGACAGCCAGAGAAGCTCGGGTGCCAGGTGGAGCTCATCTTCATTTCCAGGAGCCTGTCTGCCCTCCGAGCACAGGCTCCTCTTCTCCCCACCTGTCATGGAGAGTAACGTGTCCTCATCAGAAACAGGTGGCAACACCTTCCCGAAGCCCTAGCTCCCCAGTGCCCCAGCACAATAAGCAACCTGTGAATTGAGCCAATAAAGGCTCGAGGGAGAGTGGTCTCTAAGCTTTCCCCAAAGAAAGGGAACAGGTCTGACTTCAGAGCGCGACGAGGAGTTACCCCTGCTGTGGCCTACAGCGTTCACACCGCCGAGCTTCTGTTTCAGTTCCTGGTTTATCCACATGTAACGGCCCAGTTCCTTCTCCAGAGCTTGAATCCGGGCCTCATACTGCCTCCTGCTGTCTGCTAACCCTTCACCGAGGTGGTCTAGAGTGGAAAGGTCGAGGAGAGGGTGGTGAGGGCTGCAGGCGGGGCAGGCGGCCAGGGCTGTGGGGGTGGGGGCTGTGGGCTGGGTGGGGGCCGGGGTTGTGAGCGGTGGGCCGGGCCACCAGGGCTGTAGGTGCAGGGGCTGTGAGTGGCAGGGGCGGTGGGGGGAGGGAGGGGGGTGCAGGGCGGGGAAGATGGGGGTGGGGGGGATGGAGGGGGCCGGGGTTGTGAGCCATGGGCCGGGCTGCTCACCTCGACTCTGCTGCAGGAGCAGCTGCATGTTCTGCTCGTGCTCCTTCTGCTGCAGGGTCAGCTGGCGGTCCATCTCCAGGCGCTGCCGCTCCAGGGCCACCTCCAGCCAGTACACCAGCCTCTGCTGCTCCTCCAGCTGCATCTCCAGTTCCGAGAAGGCAATCTGCTGCTGGTGCTGCTCCTCTCGGAGCGTCACCACCTGTCCCAAGACCCAGCCAGGCTCAGCCCTCATCATGACCCCTCTTCATCCAGCTAATCCTCAATCACAGACACAGTATTGGCACACTTGCCACCACGGCACTAAGAAATCACCAGGGTCTTCCCTGCTGAGCCAAGACTCAGCCTCAGACACCTCAGCAGTGCTCTAGTTATCTTCCAACGATCAGAGCTGGCTCTCACCTTATCTGCTATCTCTGCCACAAACCCTTTCCTAGCCACACACTATGGAGCTGGGCAGAGCGTCAAGTTGTGGGATTTCATCTAGACCAACCTCAGCACTATGGACATCTGGGACCAGATAATTCTTGGTTGTGGGGGCCTGTCCTGTGTGTTATAGGATGTTTAGTAACATCCCTGGCCTCCACCCCCACCACTGTGACAACCAAAAGTATCTCCAGCCATGGCCAAATGTCACAAAAGGGCAAAAACTTCCCCTACTGAGAGCTACTATTGTGGCCATGGACCACCCTGAGGTTAGCCAATCAGAGCAGAAGTGGGGGGCGGGTAGGAAACTGGGTCTTAGTTTCACAAGTAAAATAGGCTTTAAGGTCAGGCGGCCCTGCAGATGAGTTGGTCCTGATTCTGTCCCCCAGTCTGGGAGGAAACGGGATATCCGCTGGAGCAGCTGCCATGAGACACCTCCCCACACGTGCCGCTGAGGAGGAGCTGGGGGGCCATGGGCTGCTGGCCCACCTTGTCAAAATACTTGCAGAGGAGGGCTCTGGTCTCTGAGGATGAGAGGTAGCTGAGCTTGGCCATGAGGTTCATCTCGCACTGGGACAGCAACGAGGCTGAGGCCCGAAGCACCCGCTGGCGGCATGTGATGGCCTCATTCTTATACTCAATGGCAGCATCCAGGGCCTCGATGGCCTCATCCAACTGGAACAGCGTCCGCTCCTCCTGCAGAGACGGGCACGCGTGGAGGAACAGCACCCACTGCCTGAATGCTGAAGTCCTGGGCAGACATGCAACAGCCAACACGTAGCCACAACTGGGCCTTAAGGGTCCCCTCGTCCCAAGGGCCAAGTCAGCCCATCGAGAGAGGTGCCCCCTGCTCACTGTCACAGCCCCAACCCCAGGGTGAGCTGGGGGCACTGCTCAGAGGTGGCCTGCTCAACTGCAAGCCTCTGTGAATGATCTACATTCAGGAAGTTCAGAGCACCCTAACCAAACAAAAGGCATGGTTGGGACAGCCACGGAGGCACCACGGTGTCTGCTGGGTAAGCTTCTACAGATGGGGATACGTTCTAAGAAATGCATCATTAGGCGTTTTCGACGTCGTGCAAACATCAGAATATACTCACACAAACCTAGATGGTATAGCCCACCACACACCTAGGCTACAAGCCTGGACAGCATGTGACTGTACTGAATACTGTAGGCAGTTGTTAACCATGGTGAGTATTTGTGTATCTAAACATAGAAAACGCACAGTAAAAATGCGGTGTTATAATTTTCTGGGAGCACCATTGTTGTATGAGCTGTCATTCACTGAAATGTCACACAGCACATGACTATAGTCACATAGGCTTTCTCTCTGCTCAGGGAACACAGATGTGTGGGCATGAGGTGCACTGAGTATGCGCCTGACACTCCACACACGAAGCCGAGACGTGTGGGCAGGTACTCGAATGCAGCACAGAACAGGAGTCCAGGCTCCAGCCAGAAGAGAGCTGAGAGGTCAGCACAGCCTGGCCCCTGTGTCCCAGCCAATGAGGCCAAAGCAGGGGCAGAAGGGCCAGGCCAGCCCTCCCCAGCCCCCACCTCCACCTAACAGTGAAAACTTGGGTCTGCCGACAGCAAGGCCCAGCACCCGCAGAGGGCTGGAGCAAGGGCTGAGGAGAGCAGACAGACAGGCATACAATGGCACCAAGGGGCTGAGCCATGGGGCCGCAGGGTACCTCGGGGGACAGCAGACTCCCCTGCCTCAGCTTGCCGTCGATCTCCAGGCGCTGCTTGAGCAGCGAGTCCTTCTCCTGGCGCAGGCTGTCGATCTCCCCGCGGATCTGCTGCTGGCTCTGGGCGCTGCCCTGCCGCAGCTGCCCGCTCTTCTCGGACAGCTCCTTCTCCAGGTGCTCCAGCCGGCTGGACACTCGCACGATGTCCTCGTTGAGGGCCTGGGGGCAGAATCACCAGGGATTAGAGAAGGAACAGGCACTGTCCTCACAGGGGGGACAGAAAGGGCCGGATGTTAAGGAGGACTTGCGTCCTTCCCTCAAGAAACCAACACTCCAAATGTTCTGCTCAGCAGGGAGACCAGACTTAGTTCACAGAGACTCCAGGAGGCGGGGCTAAAGGGACCAGAGCATTTGCAGAGGGGCACTCAGAGATGGCGAGAGGAGGATAAGGACCAGAGGGACGTGGCCCTCCTGGCAAGAACAGGCAATGGGTAGGGGTGGGAGGAATGATCTGTCACTGAGATGACCGGACTGGACAGTGATAGGAATTGGCCAAGCCCTAAAGGCCTTTCTGGGAGCCAGATGCGGGAGGAAGTGAGGGCTCTCCTGGCGGAGGGAAGTTACGGATCATTCCAGTAGGACCCTGGATCCTCCTGGACATCAGAGTGATGCGTGCTGGCAGGAGCAAGGCTCCTGGCCTCTGCGGGCCTAGGACACTGGGCGTGTGGCCCAAGCCCCTGTACTGGAACAGGCCCTGCATCAATGACGGCCATCCCCCTCCAGCCATCATGGTAACATTATGATCCCATCTGACAGAAGACAACGCTGTGGCTCAGAAGCTGACCTTCCTATTCTAGATGGAGTAATGATGCCAGGCGGAGAAGTCTCTTTCTATTTGGCTATACCACCTTCCTATACCTGCGCCTCCTCATTCTTCCTGCACAGGCCCTGAGGAGGGGGTTAATGAGTGAAATGAATTGGAGGATGGACACTTAAGAGAGGTTCTTCTATGCATACATCTGTAACTGTGTCATAAATATCTTGAAGCCCTACAGCTCATGGGGATGCACAGGATAGAACCCAGTAGGACAGAGCTTCCTCTGTCTGGAACTTACCTGGCAGAGATACCACCTAGAAGAAACTCTCCTGTCTAGACCTCGCCTGGCAGGGACATCACCTGGCAGGTTTATCACTTGGAAGGACCTCACTTTGCTAGACCTCACCTGGCAGAAACTTACTTGGCAGGAGCTCACCTGGCAAGATCTGTCCTGGCTGGACCTCACTTCACTGGACCTCACCTGGCAGGATCTCTCCTGGCAGGGCCTCACCTGGCTGGATCTCAGGCGCTTGCTCTCCAGCCCCGTCTTCTCCTGCATCAGGGCCTCCTTCTTGGCCAGGATGGCCTCCCGCTTGTGGAGCTCCTCCCCCAGCTCCTCCAGCGCCCGCCGCTGCTGTAGCACCTTCTCCATCTCCTGGTCCAGCCACTTCTTCTGCTCCTCAATCTTCTAAGGAAAAGTAGGGAGGGAGGGAGGGAACTCAGGGCCCACCTCTGGCTGTGTCAGCCGCCACTCGAGGTTCACTGGGGAGAAAGGTGCACCCACCAGCCAGCCCCCAGGGGAGCCCTGGGTGCGGACACAGCCTGGCCCCACCTGCTGCTGTTCCAGGCTGACCACAGAGCCGTTGCTGCCACTGCGCCTCTTCCTCTGGAATGCCGCGATCTCTTCCGTCTTAATCTTCAGGATCTTCTGCTGTTGCTCATGCTTCAGCTCCAGCTCCTGGGTGAGGAGCTCAGTGGGCAGGGCTGTTTATGGTGCCAGCATCTTACCAGAGCCTGCCACCGATCCCAAAGCCCCCAGGAGTGCCTGCCCACTCCCAAGAGGGCCCTGCGAAGTGTCCCCCAGACCCATCCCACACAAATCTCCCTGGAGACCGGCAAATAGACGCAAACACTTAGAAATAAGCCCCACAAGATGCCAGTCACCTCATATACCTCATCTCACTGAAGTCTCACCCTGGCCTTGAGTTTCCTATAACATTCCACATTTTCAGATGAAAAAACAGACTCAGGCTAAGTGACCTGCTTTCTAAGGTCACGTGGCTGTGGGTTGCAAACCCTGCCTGGGCTCCCCTGGCTGGGCCGCCAGCTCAGCCTATTGGCCTGGACAGAAGGTCCCCACCCTGCCGTGAGCCTGACCTTGACGCGGTGCTGCCGCTTGCTCATTTCTGCCTCCAGGCGCCGCTTCTGCTCCGTCTCCTCGCGAAGCCGCCTCTGCAGCTGTCCCTGCTGCTGCCGCATGAGCTGCACGTTCCGCTCGAGCTCCTGCAGTCGCTTCTCACTCTGGGCCGACAGTGACACCAGCCGCTCCGTAGCCTGCTTCTTCTCCTTCAGCACCTGGGACCCACACAGTCTTCACTGGGCCATGCACGGGGCTACCGCGAGCCTGCCATAGTGCTGGGCACTCAACAAGGGCAGGCAGATAGAGGGCAAATGGGTAGGTGGGTGATAGACCAATAATAATAACAGAGGCCGGGTGCGGTGGCTCACGTCTGTAATCCCAGCACTTTGAGAGGCTGAGGCGGGCGGATTACTTGAGGTCAGGAGTTTGAGACCAACCTGGCCAACATAGTGAAATCCTGTCTCTACTAAAAATACAAAAATTAGCTGGGTTTGGTGGTGGGTGCCTCTAATCCCAGCTACTCAGGAGGCTGAGGCAGGAGAATCACTTGAACCCGGGAGGCAGAGGTTGCAGTGAGCCGGGATCGTGCCACTGCACTCCAGCTTGGGCAACACAGCAAGACTCTGACTCAAAAAATAATAACAGGACACAGGAGCCAAGATGGCCGAATAGGAACAGCTCCAGTCTACAGCTCCCAGCGTGAGTGACGCAGAAGACGGGTGATTTCTGCATTTCCATCTGAGGTACTGGGTTCATCTCACTAGGGAGTGCCAGACAGTGGGCGCAGGTCAGTGGGTGCGCGCACCGTGCGCGAGCCGAAGCAGGGCGAGGCATTGCCTCACTCGGGAAGTGCAAGGGGTCAGGGAGTTCCCTTTCCTAGTCAAACGAAGGGGTGACAGATGGCACCTGGAAAATCGGGTCACTCCCACCAGAATACTGCGCTTTTCCGATGGGCTTAAAAAAGGCACACCAGGAGATTATATCCCGCACATGGCTCAGAGGGTCCTACGCCCACAGAGTCTGGCTGATTGCTAGCACAGCAGTCGGAGATCAAACTGCAAGGTGGCAGCGAGGCTGGGGGAGGGGTGCCCACCATTGCCCAGGCTTGCTTAGGTAAACAAAGCAGCTGGGAAGCTCGATCTGGGTGGAGCCCACCACAGCTCAAGGAGGCCTGCCTGCCTCTGTAGGCTCCACCTCTGGGGGCAGGGCACAGACAAACAAAAAGACAGCAGTAACCTCTGCAGACTTAAATGTCCCTGTCTGACAGCTTTGAAGAGAGCAGGGGTTCTCCCAGCACGCAGCTGGAGACCTGAGAACAGGCAGACTGCCTCCTCAAGTGGGTTCCTGACCCCTGACCTCCGAGCAGCCTAACTGGGAGGCACCCCCCAGCAGGGGCAGACTGACACCTCACACGGCCGGGTACTCCAACAGACCTGCAGCTGAGGGTCCTGTATGTTAGAAGGAAAACTAACAAACAGAAAGGACATCCACACCAAAAACCCATCTGTACATCACCATCATCAAAGACCAAAAGTAGATAAAACCACAAAGATGGGGAAAAAACAGAGCAGAAAAAATGGAAACTCTAAAAAGCGGAGCGCCTCTCCTCCTTTAAAGGAACGCAGTTCCTCACCAGCAACGGAACAAAGCTGGATGGAGAATGACTTTGACGAGCTGAGAGAAGAAGGCTTCAGATGATCAAATTATTCCGAGCTATGGGAGGAAATTCAAACCAAAGGCAAAGAAGTTAAAAACTTTGAAAAAAGTTTAGAAGAATGTATAACTAGAATAACCAATACAGAGGAGTGCTTAAAGGAGCTGATGGAGCTGAAAACCAAGGCTCGAGAACTACGTGAAGAATGCAGAAGCCTCAGGAGCTGATGCGATCAACTGGAAGAAAGGGTATCAGTGATGGAATATGAAGTGAATGAAATGAAGCGAGAAGGGAAGTTTAGAGAAAAAAGAATAAAAAGAAATGAGCAAAGCCTCCAAGAAATATGGGACTATGTGAAAAGACCAAATCTACATTTGACTGGTGTACCTGAAAGTGACGGGGAGAATGGAACCAAGTTGGAAAACACTCTGCAGGATATTATCCAGGAGAACTTCCCCAATCTAGCAAGGCAGGCCAACATTCAGATTCAGGAAATAACAGAGAACGCCACAAAGATACTCCTCAAGAAGAGCAACTCCAAGACACATAATTGTCAGATTCACCAAAGTTGAAATGAAGGAAAAAATGTTAAGGGCAGCCAGAGAGAAAGGTCGGGTTACCCACAAAGGGAAGCCCATCAGACTAACAGCGGATCTCTCGGCAGAAACTCTACAAGCCAGAAGAGAGTGGGGGTCAATATTCAACATTCTTAAAGAAAAGAATTTTCAACCCAGAATTTCATATCCAGCCAAACTAAGCTTCATAAGTGAAGGAGAAATAAAATACTTTACAGACAAGCAAATGTTGAGAGATTTTGTCACACCCAGGCCTGCCCTAAAAGAGCTCCTGAAGGAAGCGCTAAACATGGAAAGGAACAACCGGTACCAGCCGCTGCAAAATCATGCCAAAATGTAAAGACCATCGAGACTAGGAAGAAACTGCATGAACTAACGAGCAAAATAACCAGCTAACATCATAATGACAGGATCAAATTCACACATAACAATATTAACTTTAAATGTAAATGGACTAAATGCTCCAATTAAAAGACACAGACTGGCAAATTGGATAAAGAGTCAAGACCCATCAGTGTGCTGTATTCAGGAAACCCATCTCACATGCAGAGACACACATAGGCTCAAAATAAAAGGATGGAGGAAGATCTACCAAGCAAATGGAAAACAAAAAAAGGCAGGGGTTGCAATCCTAGTCTCTGATAAAACAGACTTTAAACCAACAAAGATCAAAAGAGACAAAGAAGGCCATTACATAATGGTAAAGGGAGCAATTCAACAAGAAGAGCTAACTATCCTAAATATACATGCACCCAATACAGGAGCACCCAGATTCATAAAGCAAGTCCTGAGTGACCTACAAAGAGACTTAGACTCCCACACATTAATAATGGGAGACTTTAACACCCCAATGTCAACATTAGACAGATCAACAAGACAGAAAGTCAACAAGGATACCCAGGAATTGAACTCAGCTCTGCACCAAGCGGACCTAATAGACACCTACAGAACTCTCCACCCCAAATCAACAGAATATATATTTTTTTCAGCACCACACCACACCTATTCCAAAATTGACCACATACTTGGAAGTAAAGCTCTCCTCAGCAAATGTAAAAGAACAGAAATTATAACAAACTATCTCTCAGACCACAGTGCAATCAAACTAGAACTCAGGATTAAGAATCTCACTCAAAACCGCTCAACTACATGGAAACTGAACAACCTGCTCCTGAATGACTACTGGGTACATAACGAAATGAAGGCAGAAATAAAGATGTTCTTTGAAACCAACGAGAACAAAGACACAACATACCAGAATCTCTGGGACACATTCAAAGCAGTGTGTAGAGGGAAATTTATAGCACTAAATGCCCACAAGAGAAAGCAGGAAAGATCCAAAATTGACACCCTAACATCACAACTAAAAGAACTAGAAAAGCAAGAGCAAACACATTCAAAAGCTAGCAGAAGGCAAGAAATAACTAAAATCAGAGCAGAACTGAAGGAAATAGAGACACAAAAAACCCTTCAAAAAATTAATGAATCCAGGAGCTGGTTTTTTGAAAGGATCAACAAAATTGATAGACCACTAGCAAGAAAAAAAGAGAGAAGAATCAAATAGATGCAATAAAAAATGATAAAGGGGATATCACCACCGATCCCACAGAAATACAGACTACCATCAGAGAATACTACAAACACCTCTACACAAATAAACTAGAAAATCTAGAAGAAATGGATAAATTCCTCGACACATACACTCTCCCAAGACTAAACCAGGAAGAAGTTGAATCTCTGAATAGACCAATAACAGGAGCTGAAATTGTGGCAATAATCAATAGCTTACCAACCAAAAAAAGTCCAGGACCAAATGGATTCACAGCCGAATTCTACCAGAGGTACAAGGAGGAACTGGTACTATTCCTTCTGAAACTATTCCAATCAATAGAAAAAGAGGGAATCCTCCCTAACTCATTTTATGAGGCCAGCATCATCCTGATACCAAAGCCGGGCAGAGACACAACCAAAAAAGAGAATTTTAGACCAATATCCTTGATGAACATTGATGCAAAAATCCTCAATAAAATACTGGCAAACCGAATCCAGCAGCACATCAAAAAGCTTATCCACCATGATCAAGTGGGCTTCATCCCTGGGATGCAAGGCTGGTTCAATATACGCAAATCAATAAATGTAATCCAGCATATAAACAGAACCAAAGACAAAATCACGATTATCTCAATAGATGCAGAAAAGGCCTTTGACAAAATTCAACAACTCTCAATAAATTAGATATTGATGGGACGTATCTCAAAATCATAAGAGCTATCTATGACAAACCCACAGCCAGTATCATAATGGGCAAAAACTGGAAGCATTCCCTTTGAAAACTGGCACAAGACAGGGATGCCCTCTCTCACCACTCCTATTCAACATAGTGTTGGAAGTTCTGGCCAGGGCAATTAGGCAGGAGAAGGAAATAAAGGGTATTCAATTAGGAAAAGAGGAAGTCAAATTGTCCCTGTTTGCAGATGACATGATTGTATATCTAGAAAACCCCATTGTCTCAGCCCAAAATCTCCTTAAGCTGATAAGCAACTTCAGCAAAGTCTCAGGATACAAAATCAATGTACAAAAATCACAAGCATTCTTATACACCAACAACAAACAGAGAGCCAAATCATGAGTGGACTCCCATTCACAATTGCTTCAAAGAGAATAAAATACCTAGGAATCCAACTTACAAGGGATGTGAAGGACCTCTTCAAGAAGAACTACAAACCACTGCTCAAGGAAATAAAAGAGGATACAAACAAATGGAAGAACATTCCATGCTCATGGGTAGGAAGAATCAATATCATGAAAATGGCCATACTGCCCAAGGTAATTTACAGATTCAATGCCATCCCCATCAAGCTACCAATGACTTTCTTCACAGAATTGGAAAAAACTACTTTAAAGTTCATATAGAACCAAAAAAGAGCCTGCATCACCAAGTCAATCCTAAGCCAAAAGAACAAAGCTGGAAGCATCACACTACCTGACTTCAAACTATACTACAAGGCTACAGTAACCAAAACAGCATGGTACTGGTACCAAAACAGAGATATAGATCAATGGAACAGAACAGAGCCCTCAGAAATAACGCCGCATATCTACAACTATCTGATCTTTGACAAACCTGAGAAAAGCAATGGGGAAAGGATTCCCTATTTAATAAATGGTGCTGGGAAAACTGGCTAGCCATATGTAGAAAGCTGAAACTGGATCCCTTCCTTACACCTTATACAAAAATCAATTCAAGATGGATTAAAGACTTAAATGTTAGACCTAAAACCATAAAAACTCTAGAAGAAAACCTAGGCATTACCATTTAGGACATAGGCATGGGCAAGGACTTCATGTCTAAAACACCAAACGCAATGGCAACCAAAGCCAAAATCGACAAATGGGATCTAATTAAACTAAAGAGCTTCTGCACAGCAAAAGAAACTACCATCAGAGTGAACAGGCAACCTACAAAATGGGAGAAAATTTCTGCAACCTACTCATCTGACAGAGGGCTAATATCCAGAATCTACAATGAACTCAAACAAATTTACAAGAAAAAAACAAACAACCCCATCAAAAAGTGGGCAAAGGATATGAACAGACACTTCTCAAAAGAAGACATTTATGCAGCCAAAAAACACATGAAAAAATGCTCACCATCACTGGCCATCAGAGAAATGCAAATCAAAACCACAATGAGATACCATCTCACACCAGTTAGAATGGCAATCATTAAAAAGTCAGGAAACAACAGGTGCTGGAGAGGATGTGGAGAAATAGGAACACTTTTACACTGTTGGTGGGACTGTAAACTAGTTCAACCATTGTGGAAGTCAGTGTGGCAATTCCTCAGGGATCTAGAACTAGAAATACCATTTGACCCAGCCATCCCATTACTGGGTATATACCCAAAGGACTATAAATCATGCAGCTATAAAGACACATGCACATGTATGTTTATTGTGGCATTATTCACAATAGCAAAGACTTGGAACCAACCCAAATGTCCAACAATGATAGACTGGATTAAGAAAATGTGGCACTTATACACCATGGAATACTGTGCAGCCATAAAAAATGATGAGTTCATGTCCTTTGTAGGGACATGGATGAAACTGGAAATCATCATTCTCAGTAAACTATCACAAGAACAAAAAACCAAACACTGCATATTCTCACTCACAGGTGGGGGTGGAACAATGAGAACACATGGACACAGGAAGGGGAACATCACACTCTGGGGACTGTTGTGGGGTGGGGGGAGTGGGGAGGGATAGCACTGGGAGATATACCTAATGCTAGATGACGAGTTAGTGGGTGCAGCGCACCAGCATGGCACATGTATACATATGTAACTAACCTGCACATTGTGCACATGTACCCTAAAACTTAAAGTATAATAATAATAAATTAAAAATAATAATAATAATAACAGTATACTAATAATGGTAAATACTACGACATTTACGCACCAGGCACCACACTAAGAGCTCTGTGTATATTAAATGGTCCTAATGAGCCTACAAAAAGTGTAATTATGATTATCCCTATTTTACAGATCAGAAAACTGAGGCAGAGAGGTTAGGAAACTTGACCAACGACACATAGCTAGTAAGTGGTAGAACTGGGATTCAAACCTGAGCAGTCAGGCTCCAGAGCCCATGCTCTCAACCACTCCACGATATTGTCTCTTGGACATTTGAACTGAGAAAATAAGGATGGGTGGGCATCTGCAAGGATGGACGGATGGAAGGGTGGGAGGGACAGATGGCTAGGTGGGCGAGATCATATGAAGGTAAAAAAATAGGATAGGCCAGGCACAGTGGCTCATGCCTGCAATCCCAGAACTTTTGGGAGGCCAAGATAAGTGGATCACCTGAGGTCAGGAGTTCAAGAGCAGCCTGGCCAACATGGTGAAACACTGTCTCTACTTAAAAAAAAAAAAAAAAAGAAAAAAATTAGCCAGGTGTGGTGGCACCTGCCTGTAGTGGCACCCCGCTACTCAGGAGGCTGAGGCATAAGGATCACTTGAACCCAGGAGGCGGAGGTTGCAGTAAGCTGAGATTGCACCACAGCACTCCAGCCTGAGCAACAGAGTGAGACTCCGTCTCAAAAAATAAAAAATGAAAACAACAGGATGGAGACCGTGATGGGCTGAATTGTGTTTCCCCAAAATTCCTATATGAAAGCCCTAACCACCAGCACCTCAGAATATGACTGCGTTTGTAAAGAAGGTCTTTAGAGAGGTGATTAGTTTAAATGAGGACATTAGGGTGGGCCCTAATCCAGTATGACCAGGGTCCTCATGACAAGAGGAAGAGATACCAGGGCTACAAGCAGGGGAAAGGCCGTGTCAAGACACAGCCAGGAAGTGGCCGTCTGCACACCAAGAAGTGAGGCCTCAGGGGAAACCAGACCTGTAGACACCTTGAGCTCGGACTGACAGCCTCCAGAGCTGGGAGAAACTAAACTTCTGCTGTTTAAATCCCCCTAGTCTACGGAAGTTTGCTATGGCAGCTGTAGCAAACTAAGACAGAGAATGCATGAATTAACAAAAGGGGATGGAAGGGGTGGATGCACCTGTGGATAAATGGACAGGTGGTCAATCCACTGATAAAAGGCTAAACCAGCTAGGCGTGGTGGCTCACACCTATAATCCCAGCACTTTGGTAGGCCCAGGTGGGCGGATCACTTGAGGTCAGGAGTTCAAGACCAGCCTGGCTAACATGGAGAAACCCCGTCTTTACTAAAAATACAAAATCAGCTGGGCGTGGTGGCACGTGTCTGTAATCCCAGCTACTCAGGAGGCTGAGACAGGAGAATCACTTGAACCCAGGAGGCGGAGGTTGCAGTGAGCCAGGATGGTGGCACTGTACTCCAGCCTGGGCAACAGAGTGAGACTCTGTCTCAAAGAAAGACTAAACCGATGGCATGGGTTTGACGGACACATGGACCAACGGATAGACAGACAAGGGAGAATGGGATGGAGGGGTAAGCGAATGGAGAGCTGAAAGGGGGACCGGGAGACAGAGGACTGCACGCTGCAGGGTAGGTTTCTTTAGACGCCCACCCTTCACCCTCTCGTTGCTCTCCCAGGTGGTCTTCAGGCAGGACCTGCCCCCTGCCTCTACTGTGTGTAAAGCTGGGCGGACCCCCAGCTTCTATACCAGCCTCACCCTGCAGGGCCAGGGCTGGAGCACAAGGTTCCACAGTGAACTTGGGCCTCAGAGCCCACATGTCCTGGTCCCAAGGATGGCAGCCTAGGAGGCAGGAGTCACCCCAGCACCCCACCCTGAGGCCCCGAGACTAACCTGCACCTGGCTCTGGGCCGCAGCGACCCTCCTGCGGAACTCCTGGAGCCGAGACCGCTCGCCAGCATCCTGGAGCTCCTTGCCCTCGAGCTCCCGCAGCTGCCTCTGGCCTTCACTCAGCTCGGCCCGCACCTGCTCTGCCTCCTGCTCCAGCTCCCGGATACGCTGGCTGTGCTGGCGGTTCAGGGCCTGAGCTGCCTTTCCTGGAAGAAAGCGGGAATGTCAGCACAGGCAGCCCTGCTCCACCGAGAGGGCCAGCTGTTTGTCCCCCTGGGAGGTTTCCCAGCCCTTGGACACCTGTGTGGGTTTCACCAAGCCTTTGCACCACCAGTACCACAGTTTACTTAATATTTTTCTTCAAATCAACTCTATTTATTTATTTATTGAGACGGAGTTTGCTCTTTTTGCCCAGGCTGGAGTGCAGTGGCGCAATCTTGGCTCAGTGCAACCTCCGCCTTCCAGATTCAAGTGATTCTGCTGCCTCAGCCTCCCAAGTAGCTGGGATTACAGGCACGTGCCACTACACCTGGCTAATTTTGTATTTTTAGTAGAGATTGGGTTTTGCCATGTTGGCCAGGCTGGTCTCGAACTCCTGACCTCTGGTGATCCACCCACCTTGGCCTCCCAAAGTCCTGGGATTACAGGCGTGAGCCACCGCGCCCAGCCTCAACTCACCTTTTAAATAAGCCTCATCCACTGCAGCGACCCAAGGAAATTACAAATTAGTTTTATTTTTACCAAATGCATTCTAAAATAAATATGTAACCTGAACCTGTATATAATTAAGCCTTTAGAACTAACTTTCATTTCCAGGAAATCTGGAGGACAAAAGAATGAGCTAAATGACACCACAAAAAAGCAAACAGACAAACCCCAAACGTGGGGTTTGGGACATTCAGCAGGATGACTGAGAGAAGGGAGATGTCAGAGACCTCAGAAACAAATACAGTCGGCCCTCTGCATCTGTGGGTTCCACACCCATGGGTTCAACCAACCATGGATGGAAATTATATTTTTCTAAATAAATGGCTGCATGTGTACTGACCATTTACAGATTTTTCTTATCATCATTACCTAAACAATACAGTAAAACAACTATTTACCCAGCTTTTACATTGTATTAGGTATTGTAAGAAATCTAGAGATGATTTAAAGTGATTTAAAGGAAGATGTGGGTCAGTTACTGTAAATACTATACCACATTATTTACTAAACCTTTTTTGAGCATCCACAGATTTTGGCATTCACGGGGTCCTGGAACCAATCCCACATAGATATCAAGTGACGACTGTATGATGTGTGTGTGGAACAAATGTGGAGCCTGATTCAAGCGATCCAGCTATAAACAGACACTGCTGATAATGGAGAGAATGTGCTTATGCTCTGGTCATTAAGAGGACTGTGCCGGGTGCGGTGGCTCACGCCTCTAATCCCAGTACTTTGGGAGGCTGAGGTGAGCGGATCACGAGGTCAAGAGATCGAGACCATCCTGGCCAACATGGTGAAACCCCGTCTCTACTAAAAATACAAAAATTAGCTGGTTGTGTTGGCACACGCCTGTAGTCCCAGCTACTCGAGAGGCTGAAGCAGGAGAATCACTTGAACTCGGGAGGCAGAGGTTGCAGTGAGCCAACATCGTGCCACTGCACTCCAGCTTGGCAACAGAGTGAGACTCCGTCTCAGAAAAAAAAAAAAAAAAAAAGAGGACATTAGTTTCATTAGGTGTGCTGATGGTATTACAGTTAAGTAAAAAAAAAAAAAAGTTCCTATTTTTAAAGCAGCACACTGGGAGGTGTAGGGAAGAAAGGACATGAAGTCTGGCATGTCCTTCAAAATATTCAGCAAAGAAAAAAGGGAGAGGAGGTAAAACAACTGTGGAAAACTCTTGGTAACTACTAAGTCTGGAGGATGGGTATATGGGACCCATGGTACTCGTCTCATGTCTGGTTGAAAATATTTATGATGAATTTGGTAACAAATTCATTAACTATTAAAATATAAACGCTCCACTGGCCAGCACCTAAAACTACCCCGTGTCCCCTCCTTCACTCATATCACCAGTCATAGGCATAACACAATTTGGAGACGCTCAGTCCTCCATGACACTCACTGTGTGCTCCCCAGGACTGAGAGATACTTCGCCCAGCACAATGGCTGAAACATTGCAGGCACTCGATAAGTAAGAAGAAGTGCCGGGCATGGTGGCTCACGCCTGTAATCCCAGCACTTGTGGACACTGAGGCGGGTGGATCACCTGAGGTCAGGAGTTCAACACCAGCCTGGCCAACATGGTGAAACCCCATCTCAACTAAAAATACAAAAAAAAAAAAAAATTAGGTGGGTGTGGTGGCGGGCGCCTGTAATCCCAGCTACTCGGGAGGCTGAGGCAGGAGAATCGCTTGAACCCGGGAGGCAGAGGTTGCAGTGAGCCAAGATCACGCCACTGCACTCCAGCCTGGGTGACGAGTGAAACTCTTTCTCAAAAAAAGAAAAAGAAGAAAAAAGAAGTACTGCTTACTAAGAGCTATTCTAAGCACTTCACCTGAATTAACTCACTTCACCCTCACAACACCCCTATTCAGTAGGTATAACGACTATCCCCATTTTAGAGATGAAAAAACTGAGGCACGGAGGGTTTATGCTACTTGCTCAGGGTCACACAGCTGGAAGAGGCTGGGCTGAGTATCAAACCTAGGCCATCCGGCCCCTGCTCCTAACCACCTCATTGTTGAAATCCCTCTAGAACAGTGCAGAAGTAACGATGAGAAGTCCCCCTCGGGTGAGAGGCCCACCTGATGCCCACGCCTCACCTGTGCGGACCAGCTCGCCAATAAGCTCCTCCTTCATGCGGATGTTGATAGCCAGCTCCCGGATCTTCTGCTGGGCCTGGGCCAGCCGCCACTCTGAGGCTGTGGCAGGGGGGACCTGGCGGGCCTGAACTCGGGCCTTGCTCCCACCAACTGCTGCAACAGGCAGCCTGTCAAGGTTGCTGCCCCAACTGACAGTGGGGGAGACAGAGGAGTGGAGAGCAGGGGCTGCCAGGGATGGTGGGTGGGACTGTCCCAAGGTGGCTGGCCCAGAACCGTGGAGGGGCAGTGGGGAGGAGGCCCTCTCTGCATCCCACCCAGCTTACCTCTGGACCCTGGAATGGCTGCATCCAACTCCTCAAGGCAAAGCTCTGGGCCCTTCCTCTCTGGCAGACTCCCTGGGCGTGCCCCCGCCCTCTGACTGCAGTTGCTGATCCTATTTCTGGAGGACAGAAGCAGGAGGCCATGCTCCTCCCCAGCCCCTGCCCCAGCCTAGCCACCCCCAGGCCTGGAGGGAAGAAGAGAGGCCACCGGGTCTTCCACCTCCCAGGGTCAATATAAACCCAGGATGTGAGTCTGGCAGAATCAGGAGTCCAGGGGCAGAGTTTTAGGAGGTACAGGGCAGCTGGGGGCATAGAGGGCCACCCTGGAGGCTGAAGTCAGGAGGCCTGGGCCCACCTTGTATCACACTCGCTCCAGTGAGACCTTTCGGCTCAGTGCCCCACAGCTCTCCCCCAGGGGCTGGCCAGGGCAACATGAGGGCATCCTAGGACCCAGAGGCTTCCCCACTGCTGTCAGGAGAGGAGACGGTGCGATCCCCAGCCTGCCTAGCCCTGGGCCCTGAGCAGGTCCTTGTCAGGTGGGGGCAGTGGGTCCCACTCACCTGCGCAGGTGTAAGGTCCGCCTGGGCGGCTCCTCCTCCTCCTCTTCCTCCTCTGAAGCAGCTGAAGAGCCACTTCCCAGCCTGTTCACCTCAGTCAGCAACTCAGCTCCAGCCTCCCTGCCATTTGTCACCTGCTAGGGGAGTGAGCCATTTCCCATCCCAAGTCATCATCCCTGCGATATACCCCACCTTGCCTGCCCTCCTCATATCTCTCCCTCCTCAAGCCCTGCCTTACCTTCGTGATCCAGCTCAAATGACCCCTCTGGCAGCCTTCTGAATCTCAAGCTGGGGTGAGAGCTTCCTCCCTCCCCTCCCCTCCCGCCTGCTTTGGCTCCCATGATACCTGGTACTCCTCAGGTGACAATCTGCCCTTTCTACCTTGTGTACAGGTCATGTGCACCCAAGTCCTATCTCACCACCAATTCCCTGCCAGAGTGATGGGTGAACATGAGACTTCTGCCAACCCCCAGCTTTGAGAGCTGAGATGACCCAGGCCTAAAAGCCCCAGAGGACCCAGAACTTTCAGGCAGGAGTAACCTTTGTCCAAACAAGGTTCCCCACGTGGAAAAGTGAACTTGCAAAGAGAGCCATCCAAAGACAGAGGGGGTGGTCTGAAAGGTGATGAGCTCTCCGTATGCAGAAGTGTGCAAGGTTTCCACCCGATGCCGGAAGCCTGAACCCCCTCTGTAACCTCCTCATTCCAAGCGATCTTCAGCTACCCCAGGGATGCCCGATGGCACTGCACCCTTCTGAGAGGCCCAGAGTCATTCAAATCTTGGCTCTTCCTCTGGGGACAGCTGAAAGCAGCCTCTCGCATCTCACAGCCAGTCCCATGAAAGCATGAGTGGGGGACACGTGCCCCAGTGCCCCCTTCCCCTGCCCCGAACTTGACCAGTCCAGCAGGGCCCACAGACACCCAGCCTCACCCTCTTCTCACCTCTCCCCTCTGCTCAGAGCCAACTTCATCTCCAGGGAGGCAGGCAGGCGGCACCATGCCCAGCACATGGGCGTGGGCACCCCCCAGGGGGGCTGTATGAGGTCGAGGCACAAAGGACCCGGGAGGCAGGCCATTCAGGAGCCGCGGGCCCCCCCAGCCTGGCCGCACCAGCTCTAACCGCAGCCGCAGTTCCACCATCTCCTCCTGCTGCTCACGCAGCCGGTCGCTCTGCAAGACATGGTCCAGGTGCCAAGGGGGCATGAATGCCCCGACAGGCAGGAGTGTAGGAAACTGAGGAACAGGTCTGAGGCCACTCCACCGTCTCTGGGCTGAAAATGAGGAGTGTCAAATACTCCTCTCCTCCCCAACAACTCTGTAGGAGTTCAGACTCAAACTCACCCCACAGATCCCATCACACTCCTATCCTGCCAGACCGCCACCTCCAACCGCCGCCACCAGAGGGCGCCAGGAGCAATGCTGACCTGGTGACGCCCGGCTCCAAGGTCCCCCGCTGCTGCCCCTCCTGTCCCCTCTCCCGTCCAAGCTCACACCACCCAGCAAAGCTGCCCTGCCTGGCGGTCCTGCACACCCACCTGCGCTGTTGTGATGCTCACCTCCACACTTTCGCTCATGTGCACCTCCTGACTCTACACCCCTACCCCGCAGTACCCTACCCTAACTCCCTCCCATCCTGAGAAACTCAGCTCTGCCTTCCCTTCATCCTCCTCTGGGAAGCCTTCCCCGCACTGTGAAGCGGGCGCCGCACCTGCAGTTTGTACTGCTCCATGGCGTCCTCCAGCGCAGCCAGAAAGTCTCGGTTCTCCTCCTCCAGCCGCGCCACCTGGTTCTGCAGGGTCAGCAGCTGCTGCGCCCCCTCATCCTCCTATAGGGCAGGGAGAGGGGCTTCAGGGGCGGGGGTTGACAGGGCGAGCTGGACACCCGGCCTCTTCTTGTTTAGCCCTGCTTTCTATCTACTCTTCCAAGCCCTACCTGCAGTGGGAACTCCAGACCCACTGGTGGGAGGAAACCCCAGACCCCAGCTGGCCTGGGTGCCCTCTGCAAGCCATTTGGGTCATCTCTTGTAATTATCCATCGTATTTGTATTAATAATATCACCACTATTATTAGGAACAATTTACTGCGTCTTCACCGGCATGCTAGGCACATGTGACACCCTCAGCCCTTACAACATCCCCACTAAGAGATGGGGTAAGTCCTACGGTTATCCCTATTTTACAGCTGGAGACCTGAGACTCGGTGAAGTTAAGGAAGTGACCACGGTAATCAGCAGAAGTGACCGAATCCCGAACGTGCCCTGCTAATGGGCAGGAGGCAGGGGCGCAGCTGCTGTCTGAAGACCCTCTTCCTTCCTCTCCACCACTCCCCACTGCCCACAACCACAACCACAACCTGTCCCTCGGCCACCTTTCGCCCGCCGGCCCCCTGCGCCGCCTGGTCCTCGACGGAGGCGCTCTCGATGCCGCTATCGGGCCCGGAGGCGGAGCTCAGGGCGCTGCGCTCGCCCTCGACGGCGCACAGCCAGTCGCGCACCTTGCGGGCGGCGGCGCCGGGCAGCCCGGGCTCGGCCTGCAGCTCGCGCAAGAGGCTGTAGGCGGCGTCGGTGCAGGCCCGGTAGCGCGCGCACTCGGCGCCCAGGCGCATGGCGGCCGCCGCGGAGGCGGTGGCTGGGCCTGGGGCGCGCCGGCCGCGGTGGATGATGCGGGTCTCGGAGCGGTGCCGTGGCGGACCCCGCGCGCCGCTCGCCGTCTCTTCGGGTGGCCGCTCGGCCTCGGGCCGCCAGTTGACCGTGGCGCGGTTGCGGATGTTCTGGGCGCGGCTGGCGTAGTTGAGGGTGTTGAGGGTCTCGTCGAAGTCGGAGGAGGAAGGGCTGACGCAGGCGATCATCACCGTCTTGGCGTTCCCGCCCAGCGAGTCTTTGAGGATCCTGAGGGCGCGAGGGGGAGGCTCTCAGGGGCCCCGACGCTCCAGGCCCAGGGCCAGCGGGCCAGACCTGGGACCGGCTCCTGGCGCGGTTCCCGTGGGCTGGAGACCTCAGGGGACCTGGGCTTCCACCCCCACTGGTGTGCTGGACACTCCCCGCCTCCCCGGCCCCCAGGCCACATAGGAGCCAGGGGGCAGCTCACCGGGTGATCTTGGAGTCGCGGTAGGGTATGTGGCTGCCCCGGCGCTGAGGGTCCCCCAGGGCGCTGATGACGTTGCCCAGCGCCAGGAGGCTGCTGTTGATCTGGATGCTCTCCTTGAGCCGCTCGCCGGTGCTGCCCGTCTTGAGCACCCTCTCTGAGCCCGCCAGGTCCACGAAGTGGAACTTGGAGACGAGCAGCTGGCCCGGGGCGGGGCGGGGTAGGCGGCTGGGGGCGCGCCCCCGCTGCTCCAGGGTCACGGTGAAGACCGTGTGTGAGCGGCTAGACAGGTGGTTGAGGTGCGTGGCTCCCGTGTGCCGCGCCGCGTTGCCCATCTCCAGGAGGCTCAGCACCTCATCCAGGCCCTCCACGTCGACCTCCTTCACCCCGCACAGCACTGCGGGCACAGAAGGCCGTGAGCCCCAGGGCAGGGGCCGCCAGACTGACCAGCCAGGAGGGCAGGCAGAGCAGAACTAGCCCCAAACCTGCCCTTCCTGACCCACTGCTCCCTCCCCATGCCCACGGGGTACTGCCCTTCCTAGTTCCGGCTTGAGGGGCTCCGGCTTCCCACTGGCCCACCTCAGTGCCTCTCACTCTGGGTATAGAAGCATGTACTGAACTCAGTGGAGGCAAGAAGCTAAAGCAAAACCTCCCAGGGCTTGGGTTTTCCATGAGGAGTTGCCATTCCCAGACAGGTAAGCACTCCACTCCAAACAGGTGAAGCCCCCCTAAGCCCCTCTCCGTCAGTGGAGGACCCCAGAGTTCCTCACCAACATTCCCGCGCTCATCTTCCCGGAGCTGGATGTCACGGCTGGCAGTGCCCACCTCGAGCAGGTCTCGGAACTCCTCCTTGTACACTTCCAGGTAGGACACATGTACCAGACAGTCAAGCAGGTCGTTCTCATCGATGAGCTTGAAGGCCTCGGCCATGGCCCTCGGGACAATGCCCTGCTCATCCTCAAGGAGGGAGGCTGGGGAGACACCGCAGGGCCTCCTGCCACTTCAGCTGGACACGGCCCATGGCCCCCAGGCCCGGAAGCTCATAGGCCCCTGCCAGAGCTGGAGGATGGTGCTCTAGGATGGAGAAGGCAGTGGCCGAGGCCAGGATGGGACAGGTGGCCTGAGCTTGGCCATGCTCCAGCGTGGTCAGGCAGAATTATAAAATTTAAGAGTTGGAAGCAACCTCTCCTGATTCAATCAACCCCTTTCATGCTGTAAGCATCCCCTTCACTGCATCCTCAACAGATTATCAAATAACCTTGCCTTGATTACTCCTAATCCATGCTCAGTTATCTAAAGGGCCTCCTAAATTTATCCCAAGGAAATAATCAGAGGAACTTCAGAGCAGCACTCTTCCTCATGACTTCAAAAAATGCAAACATCCTAAGTGTCCATCCGAAGATCCAATAGGAGATCTGGCCAAATCAACTTTTTTTTTTTGAGACTGAGTTTTGCTCTCGTTGCCCAAGCTGGAGGGCAGTGGCGTGATCTCGGCTCATTGCAACCTCCACCTTCCGGTTTCAAGCGCTTCTCCTGCCTCAGCCTCCTGAGTAGCTGGGATTATAGGCATCTGCCACCATGCCCAGCTAATTTTTGTATTGTTAGTAGAGATGGTGTTTCACCATGTTGGCCAGGCCGGTCTCAAACTCCTGACCTCGTGATCCGCCGGCCTCAGCCTCCCAAAGTGCTGGGATTACAGGCATGAGCCACCGCACCTAACCAACTATTTTATATTCACAATGGAATGCCAGGTAGCCATTAAAAAGTTAGATTTTTTTTTTTTTGGTAGAGACAGGGTCTTGCTGTGTTGCCCAGGCTGGTCTCCCAACTCCTATGCCCAAGCAGTCCTCCCAGCTCAGCCTCCCAAAGTGATGGGATTACATGTGTGAGCCCCTGCGCCTGGCCTAAAAAGTTAGATTGAAGAATATTTCATGATACAGAGAAATGTTCATGATACATTTGTTGTTGTTGTTGTGTTTTTGAAATGGCATCTCACTGTTGCCCAGGCTGGAATGCAGTGAAGCAATCTTGGCTCACTGCAACTTCTGCCTCCTGGGTTCAAGCAATCCTCCTGCCTCAGCCTCCTGAGTAGCTGGGATTATAGACCCCCACCACCATGCTTGGCCAGTTTTTTGTTTGTTTGTTTTTGAGACGGAGTCTTGCTCTGTCACCAGGCTGGAGTGCGGTGGCCAGATCTCGGCTCACTGCAACCTCTGCCTCCCAGGTTCAAGCGATTCCCCTGCCTCAGCCTCCCAAGTAGCTGGGACTACAGGCATGCACCACCACGCCCAGCTAATTTTTTGTATTTTAGTAGAGACAGGGTTTCACCATGTTGGCCAGGATGGTCTTGATCTCCTGACCTCATGATCTGCCCACCTCGGCCTCCCAAAGTGCTGGGATTACAGGTGTGAGCCACCACGCCCGGCTCAGTTTTTGTATTTTTAGTAGAGATGGGGTTTTGCCATGTTGGCTAGGCTGGTCTCGAACTCCTGACCTCAGGTGATCTGCCTGCCTCCGCCTCCCAAAGTGCTGGGATTACAGGCGTGAGCCACTGTGCCTGGCCAATGATACATTATTAAGAAAATCAAACAGGACACAAAAGAATGTATATAATATAATCCCATTTTTGAAAAGTAAAATAATCTTCCCAGGGAAAGAAACTGGAAGGCTAACAGGGCAGGGGATTTCCGAAAGGCAATTATCAAGTACATTTTATTTCGTGCATGTGTTTTGCTGTATTTTCCTAATTTTTTTTACACAAAGTATCTTTCTGTAACTGCTATGGTCTGAATTTGTTTATGCTCCCCAAAATTCACATGTAGAAATCCTTACCTCCAATATGATGGAAGTGAGGGCTTTGGGAAGTGGATGGGGGGAGCCCTCATAAATGGGATTAGTTCCCTTATAAAAGAGAGCTGAGAGAGACCCCTTCTGTGTACTACCATGTGAGTTTAGAGAGAGACAGCGACTGTCTGTAAGGAAGAAGGCCCTTCAATCTGCTGGTGCCTTCATCTTAAACTTCCCAGCCTCCAGAACTGTGAGGAATAAATTTCTCTTGAGGAGCCACCCAGTCTATGGTATTCTGTTATAGTGAAGGGAGCAGAGCAAGGCAGTAACCCGACAGAAAACAGCTTGTGTTACTTAAAAGGGGACACTTCCTTCAGTTGGCCCAAAGGATCTTTCTCGAAACTGCTCCAGAGCCTGGCTGAAGCACCCTGCAGCCCTGCTGTGCAGTATCCAAAGCAGCCTCTTCCAGGACACACGGCCCCCATTCCCAACTGCTCCAGCTAGAACAGATTCCTGACCTTCCCTAGCCAGCCTGACAACCTCTAGAGACACGCCACCTTCCCGTGCCCTTCCTCTGCTGAGGTCCCCAGAGCCAGGCAGCATGGCGCCATCTCTATGGAGGTGAGAAGGCCACTCACCTCCAACGACCCTTCCTTCCTGCCCTGCCTAGCCCACAGACATGGCTGGTCCCAGCCTGGGCCACAGATCCCTGTCTAGGAAATCGACTCTTCCTCCCCCAGCATCCCCACCTTCCACAGAACAGGCAGCAAGAGGACAAGGCAGAAATCCAGGAAGGAACTAAGGCTCCTTAAAGTGGGCACAGGGCCACGAACAGGGTCACTCACCCACACTGGCCTCCCCCATGGTGTATGTCTTCCCTGAGCCCGTCTGACCATAGGCAAAGACAGTGGCATTGAAGCCCTCGAAGAAGGCCTCAAGGAGGGGCTGAACGCAGGCCTGGTACACGGCCTCCTGCCCCGCATCCTCGGCCAGCACCACGTGGAAGCCAAAGTGTCGGTCACGGCCCAGAGTGACGCGGCCAAGCCCTGGCTCCACCTGCAGGCAGCTCTGATGCCCGTGCAGCAGCTCCTTGGGCAGCAGTGGTCGAACTCGCAGGGCAACCCGCACTGGGGCCTCCTCAGCCCCTGGCAGCCTCTGAGCCTCCAGCCCCATGCCGAGGGAGGACTGCTCTGGGCCCTGTGGAGAGAGAGAGAAGCCCTGGCCATCAGCACTTGTACTCCAGGAGCTGGACTCACCCTGCAGGGGACTCGAGCCAGATCCTGCAGCTCCTGACCTTGGAGGGATTGGGGGAGGGTGGTCAAAGTTCACAATATCCCCATGTCCAACCTGGTGCTCAAAAATTGCAAGGGCCATGATATATATAGTCCCCCACAGGAACATGTCATGGCTTCCGGCACTGGCGAAATGAGGCCCTAACTCCTGAACTCCAGTGTTTCAGCTGCACTCTTCCCTATGGCCCCTATGGCCCCATCTCCTAGAAGAACGCACACACACAGCACCACACCACACCAGGGAACTCCTGTCCCTAACACCCACTGGGTTTACCACAGTCTTTGTGTCAAGTCACTCACATCCCCTGCCCCACCTTCTTCAAAAAAGTCAACAGATCCTTCAAGACCAAGCTCTCACCACCAAATCCTGCCAATTCCATCTCCTAAATATCTCTCAAGTTCACCTGCTGCTTCCCATTCTGTTGCTAAAGCCCTGGTCCTGGCCACTGACATCGTGCCAGGATGACTTTGAGCAGCCTTCCCCCTGGCATCAGTCTCCCTGTCCCCTCCCGCAGGGCAACCAGGGACATCTTTCTTTTTCTTCTTGAGACAGGGTCTCTCTCTTTCACCCAGACTGGAGTACAGTGGCATGATCACTGCTTACTGTAGCCAAGGCTTCCCAGGTTCAAGTGATCCTCCCACCTCAGCCTTCAGAGTAGCCGGGACCACAGACATGTACCTGGCTAATTTTATTATTAGTATTAGTATTAGTATTAGTATTAGTATTAGTATTAGTATTTTGTAGAGACAGTCTGGCTATGTTGCCCAGGCTGGTCTTGAACTCCTGGGCTCAAGGGATCCTTCCAAAGTGCAGTGACTACAGGCATCAGCCACTGCGCCTCAGAGGCATCTCTCAAAATGCAAATGCAATTATTTCACTCCCTGCCTAACCCCAACTCCCCCAAAAAAAGGCTCTCCACTGCCCTTGGGATTCAAAATATTTTTGTTTTTGTTTTTGTTTTGTTTTGTTTTTTATTTGAGACGGAGTCTTGCTCTGTTGCCCAGGCTGGACTGCAGTGGCCCGATCTCCGCTCACTGCAAGCTCTGCCTCCTGGGTTCACACCATTCTCCTGCCTCAGCCTCCCAAGTAGCTGGGACTACAGGCGCCCGCCACCACGCCCGGCTAATTTTTTGTATTTTTCATAGAGACAGGGTTTCACCGTGTTAGCCAGGATGGTCTCGATCTCCTGACCTCGTGATCTGCCCGCCTCGGCCTCCCAAAGTGCTGGGATTCCAGGCGTAAGTCACCGTGCCCGGCCTGGGATTCAAAATATTAAGGGGAAAAAAAAAAAAGACAAGCCTTAAATCAGGCCCTGCCTCCCTGGACTACTCACTTCCCACACCCCAGGCCTTTCCTCGCCTCCTCTCTCTGCCTGCAACGGCTAGGTGTTACCCAAGCCTCCTCATCCCTCCCGGCTGAGGCTGCAGCCACCTTCTAATTCAGGGAGCCACGGAAGCTCCCCTCCTCTGTAACCCCACCACGACACGCACACAACCCCCAGTGCTGTTCCACCCGCCCGTGACCACTCCAACTGCAGGTTACTACCCGCTTCTCTCCCCGACCTCCCAGACCAGGAGCTGGAAGGCAGGGACCCTCTGGGTCCACTTTGCACTTTATCACCAGCGCCCAACACAAGGTCCCACGCTGCCCAACAGATAGTGATGGATAATCTTCATCCAGGGAACTTTCCCTGCCCTCCCTCCTCCTACCGCGTTCCTCACCCCCACCGCCAGCCCGGCACTTCATTCTTTACCCTTCAACCTCTCTCTCAGCACAGTAACCTTTCGTTAATTCAATCACCCAGCCCCTATTGGGCTCCCGACCCTGGGCACACAGCGGTAAACTCTGCCTCGCAATACCGTGTGGGCCTTCGCGCACCCCTCCGCGTGAGCGTTCCGAGCCCGGTGCAGTCCCGGCTTCCGCGCGCCCCTGCTCTCCGCACAGCGCTCCCGCTCCGAAGGTGCTCTGACAACCCCGCAGGCGCTATTCGGAGCCGGGGCAGGGCAGCTGGGGCTGGAGGCGGCGGGCGCGGGACGGAGCTCCATGAAAGTTGGAAGAAGTGATTACAAATCGGGACCCGACTCTCGCAGCCTTGGCGCTCGCCCCTCCACGCAGGCCCGGGATGCCGGCCTCAGCCCCCAGATGTCGGGAAGACGGCGCCGGCCAGTCCAAGGAAGAGCTTCCAGGAGGCTGGGGAGCAAGGGTGCCGGGCTCCTCATGCCGGGTCAGGTCTCCCAGGAGTGCCGGCTCCCAGGGCCACTAGGCCCAGGCCTGCGCGAGGAGGGAGCGCGCGCCTCCCTCCACCCACCCGGTCCTCGCCCCTAACCCGCTCTCCGGCCCACACTCACCTGCCTGGCTGCAAGCGCCGTCCCGGGCCAGGCAGTCAGGTTTCCATCCCCAGTGCGGCGCGCTCCGATGCCGTCATCGGGACCCCCGCCCCCCAAACCAGCCCCCCCCTCACCCGCAACTCCGCCCGCCGGGGCGCTCGGGGGCGGAGGCGCGAGCCGGTCGGCGTCGCGGAGTCGGCCCGCAGACAGGGCGGGCGGGGCCCGTGCTCAAGGGCTGGGCCTGGAGAGTGTGCAGCATCCTCATGATGGCATCGCCTTATTTTCTAGAATTTGTCTCCAAACTGGACTCCAGACCATCCTGTCCTCAGCCCCGAGTCACCTTCATCCCCGGTCTCTGTTTTCCACTCCCAGTCCCAAACCACGCCTCCTGCACGCCACTCACACAGCCGGCAGAAACTTTAATCTCCCCACGTTTAAAAAAGTTTTCTCAGTTATAAGACTCTCTTTTTCTCACATTTTAGCATTCCTAAAATTGAGTTCCATCTTACACTCATTGTCAAGGGAAACTTGGCACCAGGAGGGGCAGGAGAGGTGATCTGGGGGTGTCCACGGCAGCCTCAAAGAGATGGTTGGTGTCTTCACCTCTGAGACCTCTGATCCATTGTTTGCACTGGAAGCACCATGAATGGGTGAATTTTAAAATCTGAAAACATATTTGTCACTTAAAACGCCATTAGAAAAAGTAAACTCCAGTGTAGTTTCTAGTGAAATTTTATTATGTATATAGAAGATTACCTGTCATAGACAGGCAACATAATTAAAGGCCATAGAAATTGCCAGGCTCGTCAGATAGATCTATATTAGGAAACCCTCAGCCTCCAGTAACAGAAACCACAATTTGAAGTGGCTTGAACCATAAGGTCATGTGTTATCTCGGGGAACAGTGAAACCCAGAGGGATGAGGGCTCCTGGGCAGGTTGAGTCAGTGGCAACATTACCAAGGAGGTGGCCTTTTTAACTCTTTTTTTTTTTTTGCCATCAACTTCAGACACAAAACGTCCAGAGGAAGAAGACAGCAGTGTGTGGTGAAGCATGCCCTTTGGATCAAGAGCACTCCAAGCTGATTTCCTTCCCATTCCATGTACCACACAGCTTAGGCCTGTCCACCCCCAAACTAATCACTGTCAAGGGGATGGAACTACCATGATTGGCTTGCAATACCAGTGTGAGACAGCGTGGATATAGGAAAGTCATCCACAATCTCCACAACCACATCCTCGAAGCTTCATAGAGGAGAGGCTGGCCAACTGATTCGTGTATCACAAAGGACCATGATTCAGGTACCAAGCATCTATCTGTCAGATGCCAGGAGCTGTGCCATTTCCTCCAATAGACAATTCAATTAAGGAGAAACTAAAACCTCGAGCAATTGGAAAGAGCACATGAAACCCCAGTGTTCTTTGACATGCTGTAGAATGACACTGTTGTTCCCAAATATTCTAAATCAATTGGGGTCCTGAACAAGAACAACACAGAGCAGCCTGCCGCCGTGATGCCCAAAGAGAATCATTTTAGACCCTGAAAATGTGAAGAAGCTGAAAACTGAACTTGGATTTTCATATGTGTAAAATGTAATAAAAGGTGATGATGATTAATGAAACATCATGCTTTAAGAGGTACAATTCTGGGCCAGCCAAGGTGGCTCATGCCTGTAAACCCATCACTCTAGGAGGCTGAGGCAGGCAGATCCCTTCAGCCCAGGAGTTTGAGACCAACCTGGGCAATAGGGCAAAGCTGTTTCCACAAAAAATGCAAAACATAGGCAGGCGTAGTGGCATGGGCCTATAGTCCCAGCTACTTGGGAGGTTGAAGTAGGAAGATACACTGGCTTGAGCCTGGGAGGTGGAGGTTGCAGTGAGCCGAGATGGTGCCACTGCACTCCAACCTGTGTGAGAGAGTGAGACCCTGTCTCAAAAAAAAAAAAAAAAAAAGAGAGAGAGACAGAGGTACAATTCTAATTACAATTATAGTAATTAAATTGTAGAGAAAATAAAAACTTTCATGTTACAATAAATTTTTAAAGAATTTCATGATGGTGGAACTATCAATGTTCATGATTTTAGAAAGATTTATCTTTTTTCTTGCTCTTTCTGGTGGATGTGCAGTGTTTTTCTGTGTATCAGTAGCACTCATATGCAACAATCTGGTGTGTACCCGAGTGTCCAAATTGTGGCCTTTATCACTATTTTCCATTAAAAGTAGCTGATTCCATGTATTAGGGTAAGAACTGGAATAATTATTTTGTGGTCAAAAAATTCAGATGCTTTTAAAATGTATACTGTAGGCCTGAAATGACAAAAGCCCCAACTTAAAGGGGTTCTTACCAGCCAACTTGTGACATCATGAGCTTCAGAAGAGCAAAGAATAATTATAGTTACTTGAAACAAATTGAGTCGGTAAAAATTCCTTCTGTGGAATTTGACAAGCTGATTTTACTACTTACATGGAAAAGCAAAGTGCCGGAAGTTGCAAAAGACACTTGCAGAAGGGCAGTATGGGTGGACTTGCCCAAGAAGATGTGAAAACATATTTGAAACTATTGTAATTCAGACAATGTGCTAATGCTACAGGCATAACAAATAGAACAAATCTGGAAACCAGATCTATGACAGAGTAGAGAGTGCAGATCAGTAGGGGAAAGCTATTCAATCCATCAGGCCGAACCTGGTCCATTGTTCATCAGATATCAGTAAATGAGAAGTTTCCAGCTGACATTCGAGAGAACTCTTAAGCTTCCTGCAGTATACAGTTTATTTCGAGAGAAACTCAAGGCTGAGTATGGTGGCTCATGCCTGTCATCCCAGCACTTTGGGAGGCTGAAGTGGGAGGATAGCTTGAGCCCAGGAGTTCAAGACCAGCCTGGGCAACATAGCGAGACCTCATCTCTACAAATAAAAAAAAATTAGCTGGGCCTGGTGGTGTGCACCTGTGGTCCCAACTACTCTGGAGGCTGAGGTGGGAGGATTGCTTAAACCTGGGAGGTCAAAGCTACAGTAAGCTGTGATTACACCACGGCACTCCAGCCTGGATGACAGAGACCCCATCTCCAGAGAGAGAGAGAGAGAGAGAAAACACAACTAAAAATTCAGTTAGGAAATGTATAAGACAGTTATCCACGTGGAAGAAAAAAATTGGATTCCTACTTAAACCATACTTATAAAAATTAATTAAATGTAGGGCTGGGCCAGGCGCAGTGGCACATGCCTATAATCCCAGCACTTTGGGAGGCTGAGGCAGGCAGATAACTTGAGCTGAAGGGTTGGAGACCAGCCTGGGCAACACAGCGAAACCCCATCTCTACAAAAAAATGCAAAAATCAGGTGGGCATGGTGGTGTGCACCTGTAGTCCCAGCTACCCTGGAGGCTGAGGTGATAGGATAGCTCGAGCCCGAGAGGTCAAGGATGCAGTGAGCTGTGATGGCGCCACTGCACTCCAGCCTGGGTGACAGAGTGAGACCCTGTCTCAAAAATAATAATAATAATAATAATTAATGAAATGTAAAATGGATAAAGCGTTAGAGGAAAATCATCATGGCAAATATTATTAGGGGAGCATCATCATACCTTCATGGTAGGGGAGAGCTTTTAAAACATAACTTTCAGCACCACAGGAAAGGTTAAAAACAAACAAAAATCATAACTCAAAACTGCAAACCACGAAGGGAAAGAGTGGTAATTGGGACTAAATCAAAATTAAGAACTTTTGTTCATTGAAAGGATGAACAAAGAAACCAGAAAGAGAATGAAAACAAAAGCAACAAGCTGGAAGAAGATATTTGTGATATTTATCCTTGATAAAGAGTTAGTATTCAGGAAATATAAAGAAGTTCTAAAAATCACTGAGAAAAACTAGGCCTGGCATGATGACTCACACCTGTAATACCAGTACTTTTGGAGGCTGAGGCAGGAGGATCGCTTGAGCCCAAGAGTTCAAGGCTGCAGTGAGCTATGATTGATTAAACCATTCATTCTAGCATGGGTGACAGAGCAAGACCCTGTCTCAAAAAGAAGAAGGAAAGAAAGAAAGAAGGAAGGAAGGGGAAAGAAAGAGAGAGAGAAAGAAAGAAAAAAGAAAGAAAGAAAGAGAAAGAAAGGAAGGAAAGAAGGAAGGAAGGAGGGAGGCAGGGAGGGAGGAAGGGAGGGAAGAAAGAAAAGAGAAGAGAAAGGGCAAATACTTCACAAAAGAGGAAATGCAAATATTAAATAAACAATGTTCAATATCATTGCTAATCAGGGAATTAAGTCCATGACAAGATTCCGTTTTACTCTCCTCAGATTTATGAAGTGATTAAATTAGACAATATCAAGTGCTGATGAGGATGCTGGTAAGAGGACTCATATACTTCTGGTGAGAATGTCAATCAGAGCAACCACTTTGAATGGCAATTTGTCAATATCTAGTTAATGATACACACACTTTATCATTTAGGAATCCCACTCTTAGTCATATTCCCTGAGAAACTCTTATAAGAATGTTCATTATCACAAAGTATGTAACAGTAAAAATACGGAAACAGGCCGGGCATGGTAGCTCATGCCTGTAATCCCAGCTGTTCGGGGGACCGAGGTGGGTGGATCACTTGAGGTCAGGAGTTGGAGACCAGCCTGGCCAACATGCTGAAAACCCATCTCTACTGAAAATACAAAAATTTAGCCTGGCGTGGTGGCGAGCGCCTGTAGTCCCAGCTACTTGGGAGGCTGAGGCAGGAAAATCGCTTCAACCTGGGAGGTGGGGGTTGAAGTGAGCCAAGATCGTACCACTGCACTCCAGCCTGTGGGACTAGAATGAAACTTGGTCTCAAAAAACATATATATGGAAACAATCCAAATGTCTATTGACAGGAGAGTGATGTGGCAGAGATTACAAGTTACCCCCATCCCTGGGATCTACTTCCCCTCCATTTAGGACTTCTGATTTTTAATTAGGTGCATAGCCACTCCAGATGAAAACTATATTTCCCATCCCCCTTTTAAACCAGGAGTGGTCATGTGACTAAGTTCTGTCCAGTGGGTTATAAGCAGAAGTAGTTGTAATTTCTGGTGTGGAGGCATGCCATTCTCCTTTCTCCTTGTTCTTTTCTGTGGCTAGAATATGGAGTTGATCGCTGGAGCTGGAGCAGCTATCTTGGCTCATGAGGTGAGTTTAGGAAAAGAAATCATTCACGACAGAACAGTAAGATAGAAGGAACCTCAACCCCTGGCACTGCTGAGTGTCATCCCAGTCTGGACTACTCATCTCTGGGCTTTTACAGGAGACAGAAATAAACTCCTATCACTGTGTGCTAGACTGTACTATCGTTCAGCAAAGAGTTGCTCCCTTTCCCCTTCCACTAGGGGAGAAGTCTACTTCCCTGTCCCATTGATGTGGACTTGGCTGTATGACTTGCTTTGGCCAATGGAATGTAAGTACATATGATACAAGGAGAGGACTTGTGGTGAGACTTGGTTCTGTGCTCCAGTGATCTGTTGTGAGAAGAGTATGCCCCATATAGCCACTGAGCCCTTATCCTGCAGCCCTGAAATAGCACCCCTGGTGCAGAACTGAACCCATGCACAGCCTGGAGCCAAGTTCAGCTGATCTGCAGGCTGAAGCAGAGCCATTGGGAGTACCACAGTGATGAGCTAAACCATAGTTGACCTATGAACATAAAAATAAATGCATGTTGTTGTAAGCCACAGTCTTAGGATAGTTTGTTATGCAACAGTATCATGGCAAAAGCTGACTAGTATACATTGTTATTGGGAGCCTTCTGTCTTTTAAAACTGAATCCATTCTAATGCAAATGACTGAATAAATTATGGCATATTTATATATACTCATTAAATATAGAGTTTTAGAATAAAAATCTCTAGTGAAAACAAATGAAGCTCAGAAACATAATTTTGAGTGAAAAGAAGCAAATCTCAAGAATACATATAATCACACTTAAATAAAGCTCAAGGCATGCAAAACTCAATCATATTGTATTGGGGTGTATATATAGGAAGTAAATCTATAAAGAAAAGCAAGGGAATGAGAAACAAAAAAATTCAGGACTGTGGTTTTGGCAGGTTGGGGCTGGGGATGGGGAGGGATTGTGGATGTCATGCAGGATGTTTTAAAGGTACTGCTTGTGTTCTGGATGTAGAGCAGTGAATAGAAGGGTCCAATAGTATATCCTAGATGGGGAGCTGACCACACAGTCTTGGTCCCCTCTCTGCGCACAGAGGAACCTCTAGATGACCGCACTAGCTCTAATGACATACTAACAAGGTATGCAGAAGTTTCCATTGACCCAGTTTACAGAAAAGCTTAGAAGAATTTGACTTTTTAGTTTGTAACTAACTTTTTTTTTTTTTTGAGATGGAGTTTCGCTCTTGTTGCCCAGGCTGGAGTGCAATGGCGTGATCTTGGCTCACTGCAACCTCCGCCTTCTGGTTTCAAGCGATTCTCCTGCCTCAGCCTCCTGAGTAGCTGGCAATTATTACACTTATTACAGGTGCGTGCCACCACACCCGGCCAATTTTTGTATTTTTAATAGAGATGGGGTTTCACCATGTTGGCCAGGCTGATCTTGAACTCCTGACCTCGTGATCCGCCAGCCTTGGCCTCCCAAAGTGCTGGGAATTACAGGTGTGAGCCACCTAATCAACATTTAAATATTTAAAATAATTTGATGTATGCATTTTATAAATTTTGATTAAGTGTGAAGTATTAAATGGTTAGGAAAGTTATGCTTAAGACAATGAGCACTGAAGCACAAGTCATAGTGGTATCTCTCTCTCCATGCCCGGAAGTCCCTTGGATATTAAGATCCTAGATAATTATGGGAGGAAGGCCAGGCATGGTGGTTCACACCTGTAATCCCAGCACTTTGGGAGGACAAGGTGGGCAGATCACTTGAAGTCAGGAGTTCGAGACCAGCCTGGACAACATGGTGAAACCCCGTCTCTACTAAAAATGTGAGAATTAGCTGGGCATGGTGGCGCACACCTGTAATCTCAGCTATTCAGGAGGCTGAGGCAAGACAATCGCTTAAGCCTGGGGGCATGGAGGTTGCAGTGAGCTGAGATCCTGCCACTGCACTCCAGCCTGGGTGACAGAGTGATACGGTCTCAAAATAAAATTATGGGAGGGAAAAGGGGTAAATAATTGCCTGGATAAATGTATGTTATTGTCTGTAATTGTTTGCATCTCCAAAAGCTGTGGCTGAGTTAGAAGCGGGTTTTGTAAGCTAGGATGGAAGGCATTGGGTATTTCTCTGAAGGACCCTGGGCAACCCGATGTGAAGTGGAGGTCTTTGCTAGGTCCTGAGCTACACTGAAGATACTGAGTATGGGTGGACCTTGCCAAAGTGATGCCCCGCAGAACAGAGGAAAGTCCCCCATTGAGCCTAGAGCCAAGGAAGCAAATGTCTGCCATTTAGAGGAGCTACTTTGCCCTTGTTACTGGCCAAGATGTGTTCAAAATACTGAGAAGCAGGTTTAGTGTACCTTGCTGCCTAATCAAGAGGTTTCTAAGAGCAAAAAGAAACTTATAACTTACACTGTTTGCTTCCTGGGCTGTCCTATTCCATATGCGGCCTCCAGCACCCGTGCTCAGGCCCAGGGCTGGGTGAAGGAACTGGGCCTGACCAGCAGGCATGTTGGCGGCCACAGCCCTCAGGCGGCTGAGGAGGCAGCTTTCCTGCCTTCCGGAGTATAGCCTAGCAGGAGGAGCCGCAGGACCGGGGAGGAGTAAAGAGCTAGGAATGTGGTTTCCGGAGCACCAGGAAGAAAGCTGCATGGGTGGGTGAGGCCCAGGACAGGCAGGCGTTTCTTTCTGCACATCTAGGCCTGAGGTCATTTCTCCAGCATCTGTCCATGGGAGCTCTGCCAAGGCTGTGCTGGGCTCTGTCTGCTCAGCCCTGTTCTATCAGCTTCTAAGAACCCCTCTTGCCAACTTCACCCCCCATCTTCCCTCCCCACCCCCCAGGGAACTGCTGGGTGTAGTTTATATCGTGCAAGTGGGGTGGTCAGGGTCCATGGCTGGTTCAGGGGCCTGGCCACGTCTTTATGTGTATATCTACCAGCTTCTCTCCTGTCACCATTCTTGGCATCCTCAGACTCCAAAACCACAGATAAAGGCCCATGACTCATTACACCAAAGATCTGCCAGGGCCACAGAGTCAGTGCCAGGGCCACAGAGTCAGTGCCAGGGCCACAGAGTCAGTTCCAGGGCCACAGAGTCAGTGCCAGGGCCACAGAGTCAGTTCCAGGGCCACAGAGTCAGTGCCAGGGCCACAGAGTCAGTTCCAGGGCCACAGAGTCAGTGCCAGGGCCACAGAGTCAGCTCCAGGGCCACAGAGTCAGTGCCAGGGCCACAGAGTCAGCGCCAGGGCCACAGAGTCAGTTCCAGGGCCACAGAGTCAGCGCCAGGGCCACAGAGTCAGTTCCAGGGCCACAGAGTCAGCGCCAGGGCCACAGAGTCAGTTCCAGGGCCACAGAGTCAGCGCCAGGGCCACAGAGTCAGTTCCAGGGCCACAGAGTCAGCGCCAGGGCCACAGAGTCAGTTCCAGGGCCACAGAGTCAGTGCCAGGGCCACAGAGTCAGTTCCAGGGCCACAGAGTCAGTGCCAGGGCCACAGAGTCAGTTCCAGGGCCACAGAGTCAGTTTCAGGGAGCGGGGCTTCCAGGTGTGCAATAGAGTGGGAGCTAATAGAGTGGGTGCTTATGTGTCTGAGGGGGACCTGTGGAAGATGAGTATAAATATATGGATGTGTAAAAGGACTGACTGAAGACTCATAATTTTCTGTGCATATTTCTGAAGCTGCAGGTGAAAATAACTAGAAAAATAGGGTTTGGTTTGGCAGGCTACTTGGTATTATCTAGTAATGCTTAAAATGCACATATTCTTTCACCCAGTATGTCATGGTTACAAGTCATGCGTCTATCTCATATATATATATATATATATATATATACACATAGCCACACATGTACACTAGACATTTTTGATAAGGACATTTATTATAGCATCGTTTGCAGTAGCAAAAAAGAAAAAAAAAGGAAACAACTTAAAAGTCCATCATTAGGGAACTAGTTAAATCAAATAAGGCGTATCCATATTATGCAGTAGTTATTATGTGGCCATCAAAAAGAGCGAGTGGGATTTATAATGTGATACAAAAATCTCTCCAAGCTGTATTATTAAGTGAAAAAAGCAGGCATGCGTAACACCCCACAGCTTGTGTAAACACAAGCGGGGAGTGCATACACACGTGCCTGCAGGTGCATAGCCCTGCATACACAAGAGATGGCACCGTGGTGGTTTTCAATGAAGGGGAACAGGGGAGCTCGGGGAGAAAGACACACATCCTTTTGCAATATTTGAATTCTGTAATTGTATGAATGCATTTTCTAGATTTATCAAATATTAACATTTCGAAGACTAGGGTTGGGGATGAACTGTGGCTATACATAAAGTCTATATATCATCACCATTTTGGTTCCCCAGCATCAAAAGAGTGACTATGCAGGTGAAGGCAGTAATGATGCAAATGGAAATGTGGCTGTGAGCAAGCAGCTGGCTCTACAAAGCACACAGGCCTGGACTCAGCCTGTGAAGCGGCGGGTACTCAGAAAGTGACACTAGTATTTTAAATAAACACCCAAGAGCTTTTGCATCTGATTGTTCCCTTCAAAGTAGCCTGCTGGGAGCCTAGATCATCAGAGGATGTTCATCAGAGGGGGAACAGATCATCCTAGATCACAGAGGAGTTCAGTGCTAAGAATGTGTCAAAACCTTCTGTCTGGACCTTCAGAGTGGTGACAGGAGTTACTCATTCGTGGCAAATATTTATCCGCAGAGGCAGAATCTGAATTTTGGAAACGGTCAAATATCTTTTGGCCACAAGTTTGGTTAAAGAGATGAAAAATCAAGTTAGGCAATTACTCTTATAGTAACAACCAAGCCATAGAATCAGAGCAGGCTGCGGCTCTGGTGTCCCTTAAAAACTGGCTCTGAGAGTGAAGCCCCAAAAGGATGCTAAAAAAAAAATAAAAATAAAATAAAAATAAAAAGTGCGCCTTGGCAGCATCATCAGGATGAGGCTGAGCTCCCCAGGGGACCACTTTGAAAGTGGCAACGCTCGCCTGGGCAGTGCGGGTTCTGTTTATTTGTTAGAGAAACCCGCCGGCCCGGGGCGCGGCGGCTGGTGCGGCGACTCAGCTCTTCTTGCGCAGCTGGCTGTAATGCGTGCGGCCCAGGATGGGCTCCATGACGCTGGGCCGGAAGAAGCTGTCGCTGACCCTGCGCTTTGGCTTCTCGCGGGGCACGGCCGGGAAGCCCGGGCGCGGCGCTGCGGGCGTGGCGACTTCGTCCTCCAGGCCCGGGCCGGGGGGCGCGCCGGGGCTCTGCGCGCTGCGCAGGCTGCGGCGGGGCTGTGCGAGACGCGGGGCGGGCTCCGGGCCGGCGGACGGCGCCCCAGACGCTCTGCGCTCCGCCTCCCGGCGCTCGACCTCGGCTGGTGGGTTGTCGATGTCCCGGAATTCGCTCTCGGGCTCCATCAGCGACAGCCTGGGGAGCTGAGGGCCCGGCAGCCGCCTTAGAGTCCTGGCTTGGCCCTGGGCCCTGCGCCTCTGACCCACCGCCCCTTCCCGGGCCCCTCGATTGTTCCCCCGGGAGCGGCCGTCAGGAGGACACAGGCTGGGGAGCGGTTCAGTAGTTTGGGGGGCACCGGGGAAAGCCCTGAGGTCCTGCCCACTCTGAGCTTCTCCATGGACCAGGCTGCTCAGGCAAGCCAAGCCTCCCAAAGTTTCAGGATCCCCTAGGCCTTCCTGAGGGGAACCCTCAATGGGAGGTCATCAGCTTTCCTAACTCTTCCTTGCAGCCCACACAGTGACCTGGCCAGGGACCGGTACACCTTCCTGGGGCTGGCCCGAGCGCAGGATGAACAGGCGGGCTGCTAAGATCCCTGGCATGCTGCTTGGTAGAGTGACTGAGTAACCCACCCCCTTACCAGCTCTAAGGGTGCTTTCTGCCCTGACCAGCCCCGCCCCCCAGGCCTGCATAATCTGTAACCTGCTTTGGAAAGGGGCTCCCAAAGGGATGGCATTGGTATCCCCTGGGTTTTTCCTATTGGTGACAGGTGATAGAATTGGGTGGAGCCTGCTGCTGTCCCCTGGAACTCATGGCCCACCCCTCAGGGTGCCCTGGAAGCCTCTCCAACCCCTTCCCAGGCAGCAGCATGCAAACCCGCCCAGCCCTTCAGTTGAGAGCAAAGGGGTGAAGGTGAGCCACTGGGATCCTGGGACTGATGGCTGGAGACTCCTCTACCAGCAGGTGGGAGGGGCCGTGGGGAGAGGCCTCAGGCCAGAGCCATGGGCCTCTATACTCCTGGGGCTGGGAGAGGCCCAGTATGTTAAAATGTTGCCAGGGCACTGAGGACTGGAGTGGGGGGCGGTCTCCAGAGGAGTAGGGGAAAGGAGGGGGACTGCAGCCCCTTCAGTCAAATCTACTTTATCTGCCATGTCCAGGCCCCCTTGGGACACTAACAGTTTGCCAGGGGTGGTACTCACCGGCACGTAATGCACCACTGTGTCCACCACGTTGTCAGTAACGCCCTTCAGGGCATCTGATAGGGACATGGCCCTCCCCTTGGTTGAGGAGACAGCAGGGGCTGGTGTGAGGTGCAGCACCCTCCCTGCCATGCCCAGCACAGCTGCAGGTGCCCATGTCACAGCCGAGATGGTGGTCTGGAGGGTCTTCTGCAGGGTATGTGCCACACCACCCAGGAGGCCTCGAGGGCCTGGCAGGGCTGCTACCTGGGGGCCAAAGCAGGGTCAGTGCCTCCTGTGGTAACTCCCCTGACCCTTCCCTCCCCACCAGCCCCAGGGCTAGAGGGGAAAGCATGAGAATACCAAATTTACAAAACTTCAGGCCTATTCTGCCACTAGCAGTGTGGCCTTGGACAGGTCACATTCCCTCTCTGAACCTCTGTTTCTTCTCCTGCAAAATGGGACAATAATCTCTGCCCTGCCTATTTACAGAGTGTTGCAAGGGTCAGCTGAGAGAATGACATGGAAGTCCCTCGCCAGCTGGGCATTTGGGGGTGGGGTGAAGGGTGTTGCACGCACATGCCGTGCCCCTGCATCTGGGGCAGAGGCCCTGAGTTCACCCTATGCCTCTGCTTCTCACCCCTTCTGTGGGCTGGGGGACCTTGAGGCTCCCACTCTCCCCCTCACCTCACTGAACTTGTTCTCCTCAGTCTCCAATTCTTCCTCCTCCTCCGTGTCCTCTCCCTCCGTGTCTGTCTGGTCCTCATGATCCTCCTCCTGGGCGGCTGCGAGGCTGTGCAGCCAGGGTACCCGCACTTCGCTCCTCCGCCGGGACACCGCCTGCATGGCCACTGAGGCACCCCACTGGGCCAGGCTGCTCTGAGGGAGGATGGCAGCAGATAGCTGGCTCAACTGCCCCTGCTGAAGGCCAGGGAGCCCCAGCAGCCCAAGCCCCTCGCCCCCAGGGTCCGGGCCAGGTGGTGAGCAGGGCTCAGCCCCAGCAGACTTTTCTGGAAACTTTTTATTGAGTTGGTAATCTACATACACTAAAGTGCACACATCTTTAGTGTAAGCTCTATGAATTTTTATAAGAACACACCTGTGTAACCACCACAGATCAAGACATAGACCATTTTCAACACCCAAAGACTCCCTGTGTCCCCACTCAGTCCACATTCCCCCAAGAGTGACCACAGTCCTGCTCTCTGTCACCATGCCTTAGTTTTGCCTATTTTCGAACTTCATGTAAGTGGAGTCACACCATGTGTATTCATCTATTAATAGCTCCTTTAGTTAAATATGATGGTGTAAGTTTCACCCATGTTGCTGCAAATGGAAGTAGTTCCTTCTTTTTCATTTCTGTGTAATATTCCATCATACGAATTTCCTGTAATTTACCCATTCTACCGTTGATGGACATTATCATCGCTTCCAGTTCTTAGCTAAGGATATTGCTGATCTGAGCATTTTTCACTTGTCTTGGGAGACTTAAGTGCTCATTTCTGTTGGGTATACACTTAAGAGTGGAACTGCTGGGCCATAGGATATATGTATGTTAGCTTTGGTAGATACTCCTCCCAGATCTTTTAAGAGTGAAAAATTCAATGAACCAGAGTGTCCCATGGGAAGAAATTGACTGAGCAAGGGGGCTGGTATCTCCTGAGGCACATTCTAAACCTCTAGGGAGCCCCACAAACAGAGACTCCTTATTACACAGCTTTTGGGGATGCCACTCTATTCCATGCGAATGGTGGCACGTGAGGTTCTGCCCACTGCAGGCGGGGTCCAGGCATGTGACTCAGTCTCAGCTGTTATTGATGCAGGGGACAGAGGGGAGCTACTACTCCTGTATTCCTGCAGGGGCAACACTTGCTTGAATGAATGATCCACGCCTGATGATGCTTTTAAAAGTACTGCTCAAAAGATGGCTGAAAAGTAGTCATCTTGTTTGCTGGCCTTTATGCTTTAGTATTGTTTTATTTTCTTTTCTGGCCTTAGTTTCTTACTAAAATTCCTTATGAAAAACATCCAGCCTATTTCTGCTAAGATACAGAGAGGTGGAGGTGGGGAGTGGTGGGGAGTGGTGGGGAGTTAACTCTCCCTGGGCCTAGAAAGGGCAACTTCACCTTGGGTGCATTGGTGCTGGGTACACTCTCCCTGACAAAATGGGTTGTATACTTTGTTTATTTAAGGATGACAGTCCCTAGTGCTTGCATAGCAGATGGAGGTCCTGCTGTCTTATAGGTGGGAAGACCCATAGAAAGAGGTCCACTTGGGGGTATGAAGGCTGGGGCTTGTGGGAGACTCAGAGGGAAATGGGGGAGATAGAAGTGAGTGGTGGGGAAGGAGCACTCTAGCAAGGCAGGCCTGCCCTTGCTTAACATCCTCTCCCTTCTCTTTCCCTGTGGTCTGGAAGGCCATCCCTCTACCCCTCTCAAGTCCTCTTAGAACTGAAGCCCCAGCCCACGTTGGAAGAGAGAATGTTCTCAGGACAGGAAGGGGTGATGGGTGGGGGATGGGAGGGACTAGGAGGCCCACAGGGCTCCCAGGCACCGGGTCAGTCAGAGCTCACGGCAGATACTTACCAGGGGCACCACGCCTGGGATCCACATGGCCACGGTGTGGCCCTGCTCCAGGGCCCGGGCCATGGTCTGCACGGTGTATCGAGAGAGGGTGTTGGTCAGAGCCCCAACCCTGCTCAAGAGGCTTGGCTTGGCCTTGGGAGACTTCTGGGCTTGCTGGTGTCCAGGAGCAGGGGCTGGGTAGGGATTTGGGGGGAAAGAAGAGAAAACAGGTCAGAGAGGGGCCGGAGAGATCTGGGTCATGTCTAGGACTGGAAAGTAGGTGTTCTAGGTCCACCACAAACTCACTGGTGAGTTCCACAACTCACTTTCCCTCTTTACAGATGGGGTGGGGGTGGGGGGGGTAAATGATTATGAATCCATCTGAAAATCCCACTGGCCTTCCCTATTCCAGAGCAGTGGCTGGTTGAGCCACCTCCTGCTGATTCCCAGGCAGTGTGTGTGACAACTCACTCCCAGGCCGAGCCTCCGAATGGCAGGTACCTGACTCTTCCTTGTCTGGAGGGAGGAGGTACTCCACCACCTTCTCAATGCTGCCCAAGGCCAAGTCGGCCCCTCCAGAAGCCAGTCGGCCAGCTCGAGTGTTGGCAGCAAATTCCGCAGTGTCTCTGGCCACCCCCCAGGCAAGCTCGCACCCGGCCAAAGCGGCCCCCAGGACCTTGTCTGAAGTGCTCGCGATGGGAACGCTGATGCTGTTTCTGGCACTGCGGAGGCGGGTGGAGATGGTGTCCTTCAGCTCAGAAGCAATCTGGGGGAAGTTGGTGGGGGTGTTAGGCATGTGGTCTTGCAGGCCCTACAAGGGCTGCCCTTCCGGGGTCTGGTGGCCTGAGCCCAGCTCCCAGGAAGGCATCACCTAAAGGCCCAGGGAACTGGTACTGATATTTAGGTACCTGGAATTAAGCTGGGCTTTAGAGGAGAGGGCTCCAACCTTCCCTGTGCCAACTGTTTGGATCTCCTGGCTTCTTCACCCCGCATCACAGCCTGTCAAGATCCCTCCCATCCTGTGAGGATGACCCCAAAGGCTCGTCCTTGGTGCCACCTGTCCTGATACCCTTGGGCTCACAAGGAATCTCCTCCATCCTTTCCTCAGAACACAGCATTTCTGTTGATTTATAGGTGTGCTTGATCTTCCTACAAGTTCTGCACTGAAATAATTTGTCTTTTTCTTCATTATTCTGGGAGCTCTTTTGTGACAAAAATGTTGCCTTTTATCTGGAAAAATGGGGAGCAAAGAGCACAGGTCTCACAGCTGAATAGACCTGCTCTCATTGTCCCCACTTAAGGCTGTGTGGCCGTGGGGGAGACACTGGTTTCCTCTCTGTAAAATGGAGATAACAACCCCTATCCCAGAGGGTTGACAAGTGGATTAAAGAAGAGCGCTTGATAAAGCATAGGTGATGGCCCCGGGCATAGGGTAGGGCTCAGTACCTGTTTGTGGGAAGGGTAGATAGTTGGTCAGTGAGATAGATGAGGTCAGAGACTGAAGCTTATTCCCCAGAAGCACCAAAAATGAGTCCTTATCATAGCAACTACCCAATAAATATGTAGCCAGGTAAAGTGACCTTCAATCTCATGGTCCATAAAAGGTTGGATCTTGAGGATATGGGATGACACTCCTGGGATCTGAATGAGTGTGACTCATGATCTTAGGCAGCTGTAGTTGCCAAGTGGTCCAGGGCAGACTATGGAACCTCAGATCCCAGGGTGCGGTATCGGGAGGCAGTGGGACCCGCCTCAAGCTCCTGTTTGGGTTTGCCTCTGGGCTCGTGCCTGCTGGTCCCAGAAACCCCACCTCCGTTTAGCTTCACAGGGAGAAGAGGAGCCTGTTGTGTGGCCTTGGGAGCAGGCACTCTCCGCCAGCCTTGGAGGGTGCTCACCATGGGACACAGACTTCCAGTCACGGCATCAGCAGCCCCTGCCCTCTCCTCCCTGAGAGGCGGTGACGACAGAGTGCAGGGAGGCTTCGAGAGGTGGGAAGGGCTCACCTTTTCAGGGGGGTACTGGAGGGCGGGGATCTTTTCCTCCAGGTGGTCCAAGCCTCGGCAGGCCAGCTCATTGGCAGCTGTGACTGGAAGGAAAGGGCCAAGTTTGGGTGAGCCCTGCCCCTCCCCATGAGAATCTAGCAGTGGCTTCTGTGCCAAGGAAGTGACTTGGAGCCCTCAAATCCCAAGGCCTGCTGCCTCCCCAGCATCTCTGGGCCCCAGGCCCTTTGCCCTCTTTCGCCCTTGTCTGCAGGGACTCCTCAAGACCCGGGCCAGTTTCTTCTGTCTGTGTGGGAACTCTGGAGTCGCTCAGACCTGCACTCAAAAGGCCAAGTGACCACATCTAAGAAGCCTGTGGCCTCAGCTAGTCACAGCCTGTCTGAGCCTCTGCTTCCTACCTTGTAAAAGGTGAATTAATGGTGCCTGCCTGGCAGGATTTTTGTGAAGAAGAATGATGGGAGCTATATGAATCACCAACAAGTACCGTTCTTTCCCTCCTTCTCTTCCTTCCTGACCTGCAAGGGGGCTCTGAGTGAGCATGAGGAGGGAGAAGAGAGGTGTGAGAGGGAAGCAGATGGCAGTGAGGCCTTGGGGCTGGGCCTGCTTAGCTATCAACATGACAAACTCCCAGCACAGCCAGTGCAGGCCCCAGGCCGTCCATGCTCTTCTTTTTAACCACTAGGTGTTGAGATGGTCAACTGTCCGAAGAGGGTCACAGGGAAGGGAAAAGAGTTGCCCCCGGAGAGTGGGCATGCATCAGAGATGCACCTGCTTCAAGGGGATCCCGCCTGGATTGGCCGGGACATCGGCTCTGCAGCCATGGCCAATGGGGGCCACAGCTTTCAAGGAGAGTTCTTCATACTCTTTCATATATTCTTTTGCCAGATACCTTATTTTTCTTCACAAAATTCTCAAGCAGCAGAGAGCCCAGATGACTTGGCTGTCTTCCAGTTGGGCAGAATGAGACTCAAGGAAACTATTTAAGGAGATTGTAGCCAGGGACAGGGCCTGGGCCTACTTCACATCGGTCCTCTCCTGTTTGCTGTGTGGAGTCCTCAGCTACCCATAATTCTGTAATTAGGATGGTGGAAGGTACCAGACTTTTTGGCATTGCTGCGATTTCCCTCAGCCCTGTGTATGCCTTGGAGACCACATTTTCAGATGGGGCAGAACAATTTGAGTGGTGCACATCTGGTAAGGCCAGTAGGAGAGCCATCTTCTGCCTCTAGGGCCCTGGCTGGAGGCTCTCTGCCACCCCCACCCGTCATGAGCCGCTACCATCAGCTGCTGGGCTCAGCCAGCTTTCCCCTCCCTCCGTGCCCTCCGGCCCTGCCAGGCCCCCTAGTGCCGGCTGCCTCTGCCTCTGCCAGACTCTGCTGGTTCTTGCTGCTGCTGCTGCCTGTGCTGCGACAGTGAGTGTCTGGTCTGCCATGGGCCCTACCCTCACCACTGCCTGCACAGCTCTGCCTTCCCTTCCCCTGCAGATTCTCTGGCCATCATTGTTATCCTAGGAAAATGCCAGCTGGGCCATAGATAGGCATCTATAGAAGAAAAGAGATCTGTATGTATACCTTTATAGCCATAGATAAGAAGACCATGCAATGGGATGTGGGCAGTTAAGCAGACAGACAAGCAAGTTATCAGACAGTCAGACAGACTGAGAGGCGGACAGACAGACTGGAAGGTAGGCAGTGAACAAGCAGGCAGCTGCTGAGCGCCGCAAGGACTCACACTGGGTGGACAGCCTGCGGACCACCGGCTCCATGCTCCAGGCAGCCAAGCTACTGGCGCTCTGCACGCCCTTCTCATAGGCATTGCACACAGAGGCCACCAGGGGGTGGGCTTCCTTAGTGCTGGTGTAGGTCTTCTGGAAGCATTCGCAGGTGCCACTCACCACCGGCAGCTGCAGGACCCGCTGCAGCACATTCTCCTGCTCCTGGTGCGGAAGGAACACATTCAAGTTGTCCCACCTCCCTCTCCAGCCTCCCGGGAAGCTGACCCCGGGGTCATGGGGACCAATGGTGCAACTAGCCTGAGTCCAAGCGACCTGGGAGGAACCAAGGCCAAAGAGGTCTCTAGATGCCCCAATCATGGGAGCGTGGGAGAGCCCATGGGGAAAACAAGAGTCAGCCGGCCATGTCCTCCTGGTCACCATCCGGGGTGCTGGAGAGCTGCCAAGGCAATCTCTGTTCTCCAGGGACCAAGTCAGATCCCATCACTCCCACCCCCACCTCAGCTCACTCCCCTGATACCTACTGGTAGAGAGCAAGTGTTGTTAATGTCTAGAGTTTTAGTCCACCTTTGATTGGTGGCTTCTCCAAACATTTTTCTGGTCTTTCTGGGGTACTGCCTCCCTGCCTGTGTATCCCGACCCCACTGCCTAGAACGCTCACCTTCCCTCCCACAGCCCTTGCTGCCTGGCAGAATGCCATTCCTTCAAGACTCTGCTTGACCAGCACTCCCCCTGTGAAGCTTCCAGACTCTCCTCCATCACGTCGGAAACCACTCCCTCCCTGGCTCTCTCCACATTCGTCACACCGTGCTGTGGTTATGTGTGTTCATCTCACTCCCCGTAGACTGTCATCTCCGCATCCCCAGAGTGTAGGCCAAACATGGCACAGTAATATTAGCTGAATACGTGAACCACAGTCAGGGCTGTGCCTAGTAGAATGTGTAGGTTTAGATCTGCCCAACTGCACAGAATCACAGAATCTTAGGGGACTTTGTAGTAAGAATCCTTTCCATCCTTCCTCTGGTCGACTTGTATTTGTTTTTATTTATTTATTATTTTTTATAGAGACAGGGTTTCACTCTGTTGCTCAAACTGAAGTGCATTAGTGCCATCATAGTTCACTGTAACCTCCAACTCGTGGGCTCAAACAGTCCCCACACTTGTGCCTCCTGGGTAGCTGGGACTACAGGCCTGTGACACCATGCCTTGCTAATATTTTTATTTTGTAGAGGAGGGGTCTTGCCGGTCTTGAACTCCTGGACTCAAGTGATCCTTCTGCCTCAGCCTCCCAAATCACTGAGATTATAGGCCTAAGCCATTGCGCCCAGCCAAGACTTATATTTGAATGTCTCCCTGAATGAGAGCTCTCCCCCTCACAAAGTGGCCTGTGTCCCTTGTTGGACAGCTTTGCTGAGCTGAAATTTGCCTCCACCCCCCTGTTCCACACTCTGCCCTCTGGAACAAAACTGAGCAAACCTATTTCCTCATCCATGGGTTGGCCCTTCACATATTTGAAGTCAAATATGTCTCCCTTTAGAAGTGCCGCCATCATGTTAAATGGCTCCAGTTCCTAACTTCGTTTACAAATGGTTCACACTGTGGTCTGGTGACCCCCTCTCCTGGACATGCTACAGTTTTACATTATCTTTCTTAAAAATATACTACCCTCGCTTGAGCCCAGGAGTTTAAGGCCAGCCTGGGCAACACAGGGAGACCCCGTCTCTACAAAAAAAAATAATAAATAATAATAACATAATTAGCAGGGCATGGTGCTGTGTGCCTGTGGTCCCGGCTACTCGGGAACCTGAGGCGGGAAGATCGCATGAGTCCGGGAGTTGGAGGCTGTAGTGAGCCATAATCACGCCACTGTACCACAGCCTCGATGACAGAATGACACCCTGTCTCAAAAAACAAAAAACAAACAAACAACACTCAAAGACAGCACTCTGGGTGCGATCTGCACGTGCTGGGTGTAGTGGAACAATCGTTTATCATTTCCGGGGTGCTGTGCTGTTAGTAATGCACCTTTGGCAGCAGTCACATAATTAAGTTTTAGGTCACCTAGGAACCTTAGTGAAAAAACACTGGTCTTTGAGTAAAAGAATGAATTCTAGGGCTAAGTGTAGAAGCTCATGCCTGTAATCCCAACACTTTGGGAGGCTGAGGCGGGAGGATCATTTGAAGCCAGGAGTTTGAGACCACTCTGAGCCACAAAAAAAAAAAAAAAAAAAAAAAAAGCTGGCCATGCTAATATTTGATGGCATGTGGACTACACAGTCCCAGCTGCTGGGGAGGCTGAGGTGAGAGGACTGTCTGAGACCAGGAGTCCGAGGCTGCAGTGAACTATGACAATGCCACTGCACTCCAGCCGGGGTGACAGAGCAAGACTCTATATCTAAAAAATAAATAAATAAAATTAAAAGAACAAATTCTAGGCATGCAGAGGGAAAGAACATTTGCCAGGTGCCATTATGCTGCAGGCACTGGTCTGGGTGCCTTGGTGACATGAGCTCACTTAATTCTAACAGCCATCCTCTGGGGTCAGCACTGTCACCAACACTGAGTCGATGAGGAGATTGACAATCAGAAACAGGAAGTGATTTACCCAAGATCCCACAGCTGATAAGTGGCAGAGCCAGGATTCCAACACAAGTTGGAAATGGCCTACCTGGGATTACCTTCAAAATAACATGAAGTGGGGGAATTAATGGAAGTGAGGACGAGGCGGGATTGGCCACGAATTCATGGTCTTCGGGGCTAATAAAGGGTACGTGGGGCTTCCTATGTTCTTTTCTGTCTATTCTTATGAATGTTGAGAATTCTCCATATCAAAAGTAAAAAGAAAAAAAAACCCAGGTCAGATTCCGATGCTCAGGCTCTCTGTAGCTTTGAATATGACACTGTGGCATGGTTTTGCTCGCAAAGTGAAGACCTGACCTGTTCTGTTAGTAGGAGGCAGAGTTCAAAGACCCCCATCAATGACACCTACATGTACACTAAGACAGAGCAGCCCACAATATCTTAGTTTTTTTTTGTTGTTTGTTTGTTTGTTTTTTTGAGATGGAATCTCGCTGTCTCCCAGGCTGGAGTGCAGTGGCGCGATCTCAGCTCACTGCAAGCTCTGCCTCCTGGGTTCATGCCATTCTCCTGCCTCAGTCTCCCAAGTAGCTGGGACTACAGGCGCCCGCCACCATACCCCGCTGATTTTTTGTATTTTTAGTAGAGATGGGGTTTCACTGTGTTAGCCAGGATGGTCTTGATCTCCTGACCTTGTGAACCGCCCGCCTTGGCCTCCCAAAGTGCTGGGATTACAGGCGTGAGCCACTGCACCTGGCCAATATCTTAGTTTTTTATCCTGCAGGTGAATTTGAAATTTGAACTAGAAATAGACTATGACTATAAACAAGAAAACATTCTTTTTAACATTTTGGACGAGGCTTCAGAGGTTGTTTTACACAAAACCGAAGGAGGAAAGAGATCCTGGGAAGGGAATAAACCACCGTCTGTTAGAATGGCTTAACCATGTACTTGACCATTTTACGCCTCTCTCTGTTCTATGATTCAATACAAAACAAAGTGATTCCTAGTGCAGGAGTTAGTAAAAGCGTAACTTGGGCAAGGTGGATATTGCACAGGTTCATAATTTTTAAGTTTCACTATCCGAACTGTGCCCAAATCTGAGATGCCTTGCCAGGAGCCATCAAGCATCCCTAAAAGTATCAAATCACTTCAAGTCACAGTGAAAACCAGGTCAGAGATAGAACACCAGACACATGGAATATCCCACCCTTCCCCCCACACAGCAGCACAGGCTGTGCACCGTCTAACTCCGACAGGTGACATTTGCCGTTATGAATGATGCTGGAGACACAGAATACAGTGGCTCTGCACTGAATGCACATCCAGCTGGGTGGTGGACAGAGCATGGGCTTCTGCGTCAGGGTTTAAACAGTAGTTTCCTTCCTCTCCACTCCCCCCGTCCCTAAGCCAGGATTTCTGTCCCTTTTTTTCAAGGTGCTTAATTTTTAATAGGCATCTTTTTTTCCCCTCCCAGATCCTCCAACTGCCCCCTACAAAAGGTGGTGAGGGCAAGAATAACTAAGCCATGGTAGTCAATGAACTAGGATTATAATCTGGGAATATCTTGCTCTAAGTCCCCTGCATCTCCCCTCCCTGCTTCTTCCTCCTCCCTCAGTTGTCCATCCCCTGTCACAGATGAGCCCAAGTTACTTACAGGGAGGTCTCCATCCAGCAAGGTGAGGCCTTTGTTGACTGCCATCCTCGCTCCTCAAGCTGCAAAACAGAGTCCCAGGTCCCATCAGAAGCCCTCAGGCTTGAGCTCCACTGGGTCACTTCCCTACCTCTCATGGCCACCAACTAGGCCCAGGCTGCCTGGGGGCCCATTTGCCCTGAACAGAAGGCATTAGGTTGGAGGGTGAATATCACACACAATAGCCCCACTCCTTAGGGTCCCATAGCAATGAGTTGCTCCATAGCTTACTTGTCAAGACTGATGTTTCTTTCTTTTTCTTTTCTTTCTTTCTTTTTTTTTTTTTTTGAGATGGATTCTTGCTCTGTTGCCCAGGCTGGAGTGTAGTTGCACAATCTCGGCTCACTACAACCTCCGCCTCCCGGGTTCAAGGGATTCTCCTGCCTCAGCCTCCCAAGTAGCTGGGATTACAGGCGCCCACCACCACGCCCGGCTAGTTTTTTTTTTTTTTTCTGTTTAGTAGAGATGGGGTTTCACCATGTTGGCTAGGCTGGTGTCGAACTCCTGACCTCAAGTGATCCACCTGCCTAGACCTCCCAAAGTGCTGGGATTACAGGCATGAACCACCACACTGGCTAATTTTTGTATTTTTAGTAGAGATGGGGTTTCATCATGTTGGCCAGGCTGGTCTCGAACTCCTGGCCTCAAGTGATCTGCCCACCTTGGCCTCCCAAAGTGCTGTGATTACAGGCAAGAGCCACCATGCCCGGCCAAGAATAATGTTTCCTATAAGAGTTCAGGTTAAGAGGCCAGGCGCGGTGGCTCAGGCCTGTAATCCCGGCACTTTGGGAGTCCAAGGCAGGCAGATCACCTGAGTTCAGGAGTTCAAGACCAGCCTGGGCAACATGGTGAAACTCCGTCTCTGCTAAAAATACAAAAATTAGCCAGACGTGGTGGTGGGCAGCTGTAATCCCAGCTACTTGGGAGGCTGAGGCAGGAGGATCGCTTGAGCCTGAGAGGTGGAGGTTGCAGTGAGCTGAGATCCTGCCACTGCACTCCAGCCTGGGTGACAGAGGGAGACTCTGTCTCAAAAAAAAAAAGGAGTTCAGGTTAGGAAATAAAAAATGCAGGTAGCCATAAGAGATAAAAAGTTTTAGATAAAATCTTAAGGCTCTTAAATGAGGGTCCAAAAGAGACTAAAACAAGAAGTTTCAAGCTGGGTGCACTGGCAAGCACCTGTAATCCCAGCTACTGAGGCTGACATGGGAGAATTGCTTGAGCCCAGGAGTTTGAGATCAGCCTCGGCAATACAGTGAGATGCCCATCTCTAAAAAAATAAATAAACAAGTTAAAGGTTTCATCTTTGAAAAGGCTCTGGGTTAATTCCTCTATTTCTCTCTTTCTCTCTGTCTGTCCCTCTCCCCCTCTCCCTATCTGTTTTTTGAGACAGGGTCTCAATCTGTTGCCCAGGATGGAATGTGGTGGCACGATCATGGCTCAATGCAGCCTTGACCTCCTGGGATCAAGGTACCCTCCCACCTCAGCCTCTCATGTAGCTGGGACTACAGGCATGCACCACAATGCAGGGCTAATTTTTTCTCTTTTTTTATAGAGACAGGATCCCACTGTGTTGCCCAGGTTGTTCTTGAACTCCTGGGCTCAAGTGATCCACCTGCCTTGGCCACCTGCAGTGCTGGGATTAAAGGCATGATCCACTGTGCCTATCCAATTCCTCTATTTCTAGATTCTGGTATCTATACCAGAATCTCTCCCTCAGTAGTTTCCCTGCAGAGTTTTTCATCCCCAGCAAAATCCCCAAGAGGCCCTTACCTTCAACTTCTTCCCTTTAATGTTCATAAACAAGCCATGTAAGGCAGGTGCCCCAGGACCCCAACACTCACTCCGGCTGACCGCCACCTCAGTCTCACAGAGCCCAGGCTGCAGAGTGTCTCCTCAGGCAGAAACAATTCCTGTCACTCCTGGGAGGCTTGGGCAATGCTGCTTCCACCTCCCAGCTAGAGGAGGGCAGAGAGGGAGAGACAACAGGGTCAGCCAGTTGTCATGGTTATATGACCCAGGGTTCCCCAGGCATATCCTAACTTCTCTAAGGACATTTAGCAAACAAGGAGGTAGGTGGCAGAGCTGAAGGAGATCCAGGCTCAGAGGACTTAGTATTCCAGAGCCATGAAGCATCAGTTCTGTAATGTTCCTGCCCTCAATTCACAAAAATCTGCTTTCCAGAAAGAAGGTATAGGGATAGACATCATTAAACTCAAAAGCTCTAAAGTTCTATATACCTCTGCAATCTTTTGGCTCCTTTTCCATAGAGGGTCTTGTGGGAGTTTTCAATCCATTTCTCTCATCTTTTCTTATTTACTAGCAAGACTGAATGCTGAACAGTAAAATTTAAACCCACACAGAAGAGTTCATCTGAATGTATTCATCTTTGATTATGGAGATAAATTGCCCTCAGTGAAGAAGCGACAGAGCCGGGAGTTGAGTTTTTGACAATATAGCCTTTGAGTTGAGGGAGGAATTCCCACTTCTTAGAATTCAAAAAAATTTATTGAACTTTACCTGGCCTAAGATGCTACCAGAATGAAGAGTAGGAGAGCCAAGTAGATTTTTATTCTCCTGGGTCTGGATAAGCGACAGTGTTGACTAGGATTCTATCACTAATCAAGAGCACCCAGACAGCCAAGAATTAGCACCACTCAACCCTTCTTTACCCAGGACTCAAGCACAAGCCCAAGTTCTAGTTCCTGGCTTTAGATATGATGGAGGACTATGGTATAAGCCATAGCTTTCAGATTAACTAAGAAGGGCCTCTTCATGAAAACAGACAATAGGAAAACAAAACTTATTTTCTTTGTTGCTGGTGGAATTATATGTATTGTTGACTCTGTTAAGTCACACAGTGTGGGCAAGAGAAGAAAGAGGCAGGGGTGGGGAATTATGAAAGATCCTTGGTAATAAATTACGTATCTGTGATGCAATAAAGTAGGGAATGAGAAGGCAGGAAAGGGAGGAGTCAAGCAGGGAGGCTTCAAAGGAGTAATACGCTATACGTTTAATACTTATTGATCCAACCTGTGCTTTTCAAATGTAAGGCAGTAGAGAAGACAAAGTATTTAAAGAAGTGGCCTCTGCCCTCACCTCAAGGTTCAGCACAAATTATCTGTGAGGCTGTGACTGGACAGCAACCTGAGCCAAAGGGCAGTTTTCAGCCTTCAGAGTAGTGGCTTTGGGCCAGAGGGAACATAGGGCTTTGTGCCTGAAAGCTCTGCCAAATCAAATAGTCCTTTGGCTGCTTTAGCTGGGAGTGCAGAATGTGGGTGAGAGGTGAGAAGTGGTGAAAGGGCCTAGGAGAGTCCCGAGGGAAGACAGAAGTGTTAGTTTTCTAGCAGTAGCTTGCAGGGCATAGAGTTCTATCTTCTTTCCTTCTCCGTACCTACCTGCTTTCCCTACCCCTCCACCAAGTGAGAGCAGGGACCTAGGTCATCTTGCTCACAAGTGGATACCCAAAACCATGCATGGCACTCAAACATTCATTGTTGAATAAATGAATTGTCAGGCAACAATGCTCAGTTGTGAATGTGCTGGGCTGTACATCTACGAAGAACTTCTTCGATTTTTGGCATCCCTCATGAATGTGGAGGCTCTGGGGTGGAAAACATTAGTTACAAAGAAGGATTCACAGGGTGGTACCAGGACACCATTAAGGTTTACACAAACCTCTTAGAAGAGGTAGTATTTCCCAAACTCCCCACCACTCACCATTGCAGAGGACAAAAGTACCAAGATGGATACCACTGTAACATAACATACCACCATGAATTCAAGGCAGACTTACCTAGGCAGAAGCCAGCCAGCGATTGACAGGGCTACTGTAGAGCACCATCTCCATGGCAGCAGTCTAGATGAGTTCATTTCAGAGGTCCCTCTCAACCCAGAGGCTCTACATCTCAATCTTTCTCCATCCTCCTCCTCAGCCTGGATCTTCTAGCCCAGAGCTCGCTGTACCAACTGTGTAGGCTGATTGAGGATTATCTGATGGATTGCCTTATGTTTAACTCTTCTCTCTTCCCAGAACACACTCACAGACACAAGTCAATTTTGTCTAGAAATTTATTGAACATAGTTAATCTATTACAGTAGAGGATCTGGACAATAAAAATAGTTATTTAAGCTTTTTATTTTCCCTGACCTAGTAGCTTTCATGTCTCTTAAAATTCCCTAAATTTTATTTCTCAAATCCCATATCGTGATTGGTTAAACAGACAGCCAAGAATCTGAGTCTATTTTTTGAGAATCTCAATCACATTTCTGGGAAATGTGACTTATTGAGTACATATTTATTTTCTCATTTCCATTCAGATAAATGACACAGCTTTGCTGGGAGGACTGACATCGGCCTCCTACCTGCTGGCATCCTATTTCTCTACCTCACCTCCCTCAAACTAAAGGATCTGTAACCACATATAAAGACCCACACCCAAGATGGCAGATAGGAACACAAGTCAATGTCATTGACTCAGCATTCCATTGTCCTCTTCACTGGCTTCCTCCTGCGCTTTCCACCTCCCTCAATCACCCTAGAAATAAGATGTCTGATTTATCGTAGAAAATTGTGACTCTCTTACATCTGGAGTATTCATGAAATTTTTTTGACTGGATAAATTTTGATGAAAATTAATGTAGAATTGCCTAAATTGTTAGAAGGATTTAAATAAAACAATCTAACTGATAAGTCTAAATACTGTCTTAATTTTTTTTTAAGACACAGGGTCTTGCTCTATCACCCGGGCTGGAGTGCGGTGGAAGCTCACTGCAGCCTTGAACTCCTGGGCTCAAGTGATCCTCCTGCTTCAGCCTCCAGAGTATCTGGGACTACAGGCATACTCCACCATGCCTGGCTAATTTTTTAACACTTTGTTGTAGAGAAGGAGTCTCACTACATTGCCCAGGCTGGTCTTGAACTCCTGGCCTCAAGCAATCCTTCCGCTTCAGCCTCCCAAAGTGCTGGGATTATAGGTGTGAGCCACCACACTCCACCCAGTTTTAGTTTTTCTAGAAAAGAATATAAACCACTGGACAAGGAAATTTCCAAATTATGGGAGAGTAAGAGGCAAAAAACAGGATTCAGGAGGGGATCACATTTCTACTCAATTCTGAAGACAGTGGGAGAGCATGGAGAGAACACTGGATTAGGAGTCAGAGGAATGAGGCTCTAGCCTCAGTTTTTTGTTTGTCTCACTGTCAGCTTCTTATCTGTCACAGGCTACATATAGGCACCCATTGTGACCCTGTACCTATTTTTATAAGTCCCTCCGGTCTGCTTCTGATTTTTGCTTATTCACTGCACCCATAGACACAATTTATACCATGAAGGTGCCTGATGCTTTTCTGATTCTACTTCTGCACAGAGCAAGGACATGAGTGCAGTGATGGTATAAGGGCCAACAAGTTGAGAGGCTGTAAGCCCAGCTCTCCTCCATCCTGCTACTGACATCAGAGCCTCTACTAGATCTGAGAGTGCCATGCACCAGACCTACTGTAATCGTGAAACCAATGATCCATATGACCCTAAAGTTATTGTATACTGGTGTTCAATGATCAGTGCGATTGGGTCTTTTTAAATTTTTTCCTTTCAATTTTTATTCATTCAGCAAATACTAAGCTCCCACTATGCACATAAGAGATGTTCAATCAATGTTAGATGAAGGGAAAATATTCAGAAATTCACAAGTCACTCCAGCACTCCAAAAACATACAACTCTTCATGCTCCTCCCTTCTCCGTTCTTGGCCTCATCTCTGCCCACATCACAGGTTGTTAAATGCTCACATGAACAAGAACTTAAGCACAGTATGACATGGCCTGTGACTTATACAAATGTCTGTCCCACCAAGAGGCCATCTTTTAAAGTAGGTACTAGTTCCAAGCCTAAAAACACCCTAACGGGTCTTCAGCTTCATCTGAGGATATGCCACAGTGATCATGCCTGCTATAGAGGACACAAGACCTCCAAGTCCAATGATGCCAGGATTGGATTTATAGATCCCCAGCTGGTCCAAAGGGTTCAGGATATCACAAAGGTTCTTCACTGTGTCCAGGAGCAAGGGAGGATGCTGCTTCAGAGATCGGAATAAAAGAAGTAGAAAGGATTGGAGCCATTCTGTTTCCTCCTCAGCCACGCTGAACCAAAGAGGATCCTGGGATGCTGATTTCTCTTTCTTTGCCCTGTCACATGTAACTCGTTTCATCTGCAGGGAGATTTCATACAGATCCCTGACCAGGCTCAGCAGAAGAGAATAGTAGTAGTGGTGAGCAGCCCTCGTTCGCCATTTCTCTTTGTTGATGCCAGAGGTGAGACCTACGCTCCTCACCCAGAGGATGGTGTCACAGATGAAATAAATCACACGGTTCAGGTTGGCTAATGTTAAGCATAAGCGAGGTACCAGGTCAGTGGCATGAATGCTCTGCTCAGTTGCCTGTATAGCATGTACCACATTGCCTAGTCTGAACCCTGCAAGTAGAACCCACAATAGTGAACAGTTATTTCATTAGTACACAACAGGAAGATAGAATCCCTGTATCAGGGTGAGGAGCCAGCTTTTTGTTGTTTTTTGTTGAGACAGGGTCTTGCTCTGTCACACCGGCTGGAGTGCAGCGGCACCATCACAGCTCACAGCAGCCTCAGTCTCCTGGGCTCAAGCAATCCTCCCACCTCAGCCTCCCGAGTAGCTGGGATTATAGGCACGAGCCAGTGTGCCCAGCTTAGCACTGGTCTTTTTAACAACTGATGGTCATTAAAGGCTCAGCCTTTGTTCAGAAAAAGAGAAAGATTTTACAGTACATTAAGGACACCTAAAGTGATCTTGGAAGGCAAAAAATACAGTGACTCTTTAAATTTACCTCCTCCATTGTAATGAACACCTTAATGTTGACTGACGGCATACTCCAGGCAAGGTCAATCATGAGTGTGGACTGTTACATTTGATTATTTACCAGCTACACTTCTTTAGAAGGAAGGTACTATGATAACATGAACTCCAGATGCAATACTCTCTTGGAGAGTCTGATGCCTTGCATTTTATTTATTTTCCAGACAAAAGACTGTCTTTTTAAAAAACACTATTATCATTTTGCCATTTCTCTGGTCCAAACCCCTTTTGGCTACCTATTGTCAAGAAGATAAAGTAGAAATGGTAGAATTTAATGGATAGAACAATTAATAATATTGTCACAGAGCTCCTAGTTGAATTAAATCAACCATTGCAATGGCACGTCCTTATGTGAGCACGTAATTCAATTAATCAGGGATGCATCAATCAATAGGTACTTACTGAACACCTTCTGAGAAAGAGTTATAGTACTAAATGTCACGGAGGATACAAAAGAAGTACTTTTCCTTGAAGGATCATACCTTAGACTCAGGAGGTGCTCAGAAGTAGCTACTCTCAGAAAACTTATAATCTCAGAAGGGGCTGGGCGCGGTGGCTTACGCCTGTAATCCCAGCACTTTGGGAGGCCAAGGTGCACGGATCACCTGAGGTTAGGAGTTTGAGACCAGCCTGGCCAACGTGGTGAAACCCCGTCTCTACTAAAAAAAATAAAAAATAAAAACAAACATTAGCCAGGCATATTGGCGCATGCCTGTAGTCCCAGCTACTAGGGAGACTGAAGTGGGAGAATTGCTTGAACCTGGGAAGCGGAGGTTGCAGTGAGCCAAGATCATGCCACTGCACTCCAGCCTGGGCAACAGAGTGAGACTCCATCTCAAAAAAAAAAAAAAAAAAAAAAAAGAATGTTTTGTATTATGTTATCAAAAATAACATAAAATAGTAAAATAGTATATGTAATGACTATTTTAGTATATAGATTCTGGGTTCCAGTTCTGGCCCTTGCACTAACTGGCTGAATGACCCTGGATAAGCCCCTTCTGGACTTACAGACTAGTGACCTCTAAAGGACCTTTCAGCTCCAACATTCTAAATAATCTAAATAGAATTTCTAATCTTGGCCTTCAGTGCCATCCAGAAAAGCTCGCCCTACCCTTCCCATCCCTCTGCTTGACAATTTAAATCTGTCAAACTAGTTTTGTAGTTTGACAATGATCCTCCCATACAATGGTTTACTCAGTTCTGAGCCTTTATTAGAGAAAACTGCCCTTCGAAACTCTCTTCTTCCTTCTCTCTAGCCTCACCTCAAGTTCCACCTCCTCTAAAACACCTTTCTTTTCCTCTACCTCAGCCAACAAGTTTGGCACTAAATCTTATATATCATTATTTAAAGCACCTTACTTCTCCCATAAGGCTCAGGAATGTACCTATATAACATAGGTGCTCAAAACCAACTGATCAATATGTGATGCTCTACATTCCATTCTAATGCCTCTGCTAACCTACTATAGCAACATCTGGTTTTCATCAAACAACAAAGACTCAGAAAGGCAATTGCTATGAAAAGTACTGGATTTCCCAGTATGACATATTATTAAAGTAAATTTAATAAACACAAAATATTGATTTCACTTTTTACCTTTGGCATGAAACCTACCTCAAACATGGTCTACAAAAATGTATCCACCTATATATCCTCTAGCACTCCTCAATAAAGGAAAAAGGCAGGTGGTCTAGGATATAACTATTCCACTCTTGTTTAGAATAAAGGGGCTCACAGGAGCAGAAGCTCATGTCAGAGACTGCTAAAACATACTATGATTCTAAGAACTAAAGGTGAACTAACACGTTGTCTGTCTCACTGGTTATGATTCAGCAGAAAGATAAGGTGTAGCACCAGATGTGAACATAAGAGGGTGTTTATGAATGGTCTGCAGCAACACATTCAAACCTGTTGTGCCATGAGGACAGCCTTACTGGTCAATTTCACCAATAAACTTGATTGACTAGAAATTAATGACCTAGAAATTACTCCGTGAATTACAGGGTCTGAGGCTGAGGATTCTAAACCAGGAGTCACTGTCCCTCAAGAAACAGGGTACTTACATTTACGACCAGTGCTCACACTGGACTCCAGTTTCTTGAGCTTCATTACCACCTTCTCTTTGCCAGCTTTGGGCTCTAACAAATATCTAAGCAACATGCATGTGTACTGAGTGGCTCTGAAATGGAAAAAAAAAAATTGAGAAGAATGATTTACAAACCAAATAAAACTTAATTCAGGAAGTAAGGGAAAGAGAAACACATGCCTCCAGACAACATTTCCAAGACCATTTCTCATGTAGCAACTCTTACAAAAGCAAAATTCTGCAACAGTCATTCTACAGGAGAGCCAAAGGGTAGAACATGTCATGGAAATTTAACACAAAGGTAATGAAAACAAATTCTGCAATAATGCAGCCAATGTGCCTCCAAAAGGCCTTTTGCTGGCACAGAGAAATGGATATAGTCAAAGTGAGAAACTGTACAAAATCTCCCTCATGTTAAGTCTACAAAGATCCATATTCCTTCTCTTCCCCAGTGTAGATTTCTTTCTTTGTTTTTTTTTTGTTTGTTTTTGATCGAGTCTCGCTCTTTCGCCAGGCTGGAGTGCTGTGGTGTGATCTTGGCTCCACTGCAACCTCTGCCTCCCTGGTTCAAGCGATTCTCCTGTCTCAGCCTCCCGAGTAGCTGGGATTACAGGTGTGTGCCACCACGCCCAGCTAATTTTTGTATTTTTAATAGACACGGGGTTGTGCCATTTTGGTCATGGCTGGTCTCGATCTCCTGACCTCGTGATCTGCCCTACTCAACCTCCCAAAGTGCTGGGATTGCAGGCATAAGCTACTGTGCCTGGCCTGATTTTCAGATTTCTAAAATGAACTTTTCTACCATGTACTTAACCTACCATCTATGTGACAGGACACAAACTCAAACCAGAACCAAATGAAAAGTCCACAGTTTAAAGATTGTTTAATTTTTTATAAACGAAAGGACCAAATACACATCAGTACATAAATTAGTATAAATATGTTTTCATAGTTGTCTTTCAAAACTTATTCGTATTTTACATAAAATACAGGCAGAATCCTGCTTAATAATACTATATATTTAATAAAGTGATTATTGTCATGCTTACAAATAACAATGACTTACTAATATAAATGTAGGAGAAATTTTACATCACATAGTCACACATCCAAATCCATTTGGCAATCTACTAATAAAGTAGGTGCCTGGTTCCTACTGTCTTGTAAGTGCATTTGAATCCCTTTATGCTATAAATATTATTCTCAATAAAAATGCGGTACATTTTCATTTTCTAAAATAGTGAACTTGTTACTAGGAATGAAATAAAAAGAGAAGACTGGAATCATAAACAATCGCTTTCTCTTTTTTAAGTGTCCTTCCTGGTTACAGGACTGGTCATGTCAATGATTCTGCCTTTCTGAGCTTTGGTCTAATAATAAGGATCAGGCCAACAGTAAGACATTACTTTTATTTATTTATTTTTGAAGTGAACATAAACTCGATTTTATTGTCTTCATAATAAAACAAAAGATGATACTTAGAACTGGATCACTTGGCCCTTTCTCTTCTTATCTCCTCCCAGTTCAAAATGCTGGCATCTTTTAATAGCCAGGATTCTCTTAGATCTTCACTGGGCTCAACACACTCAAGCTTTAGCACAAACTTCTTGGTAGTTTTAGACTTTTTCTGGAAAATCGGCTTAGTCTGCCCACCACAGCCACTCTGCTTCCTGTCATAATGCTGCTTTCCCTGGGCATACAGAGAATCCTTGCTCTTCTTGTACTATGTCACTTTGTGGGGTTGGTGCTTGCCACACTTCTTACAGTCTGACAGGTTTTAGGAATGTTCACCGTGTTTGCATGAGCATTATTGGCACAGAAAGCAAGGTATTATTTTATGAATGCCAGTGTGGTCATAAAGGTTATACAGATCATCAAGGAGGTTGGGAAATGAATGCTAGAGATCTCAGATCTTTTGGAATAAACATATCTTAAATTATTATTATTATTATTTTTCGAGACAGAGTCTCGCTCTGTTGCCCAGGCTGGAGGGTAGTGGTGCGTTCTTGGCTCTCTGCAAACTCCGCCTCCCGGATTCAAGCGATTCTCCTGCCTCAGCCTCCTGAGTAGCTGGGATTACAGGCATGTGCCATCACGCCCAGCTAATTTTTGCATATTTAGTAGAGATGGGGTTTCACCATGTTGGCCAGGCTGGTCCCGAACTCCTGACCTCATGATCTGCCCACCTCAGCCTCCCAAAGTGCTGGGACTACAGGTGTGAGTCACTGAACCCGGCCTAAATGATGATGATTATTATTTTTAATGTTTTTATTTTTTTTTTAGAAGGAGTCTCGCTCTGTTGCCCAGGCTGGAGTGCAGTGGCGTGATCTTGGCTCACTGCAAGCTTTGCCTCCTGGGCTCATGCCATTCTCCTGCCTCAGCCTCCTGAGTAGCTGGGACTGCAGGCGCCCACCACAACGCCCAGCTAATTTTTGTATTTTTAGTAGAGACAGGGTTTCACCATGTTAGCCAGGATGGTCTCGATCTCCTGACTTTGTGATCCGCCCACCTCAGCCTCCCAAAGTGCTGGGATTACAGGTGTAAGCCACTGCACCCGGCCTAAATGATTATTTTTTTAACCAACTTCCTTGATAAACCCTGCAGGGTACATTCTAGGTACACTGGAATTACAGGTTTCTATTTAATGAAATTTCTATTTAATGAAGCTTGTATATAAAGTAACCATTTAAAAAACCTATCAAACTAATGAGAAAGCCAGTATAGCTTGGTAGTTAAGTGGGCACTGGAGTCATTTGCGTGGATGTGAATCCCTCAGTTCTGCCATTGTAGTACCTATTAACCTCTTTCTGCTTCAGTTTCTCCATCTGAAGTGGGTAAAATATTTAGAGTATCTACCTCATAGGGTTGTGATGAGGGTTATATAAGTTCATAGTTGCAAAACACTGGGAACAATAGCTGTCATAAAGATGGCTTCCAAAAGCCTCATTATTGGGGCCATTCTAATTGATCTGTTTGTATCAGCACTTGCACACCCAGAAGAGAATGCAGAGCTGTTAAATAAAACTGCAACTGTAAATATTTTTTCATTAAGCAAGAATCAACCAAATCTCTAAAACATCATGAACTAGTACTGTATTCGTATTAAAGATACAATCTCTCAGTTCTTTTCGTTTCTTATGGAACCAAAAGAAAAAGAGACACAATCTCTGTTTAATATTTTCAGTAGCACAGCATGAACCTTAGAGGTGCAGTTAGTTCTTTCTGAGCTTCTCCCCACTGTATTTCCCCCCAATCCAGTTGGTGTGGTCTCATCCCCGCTATATTTTGTTTTACAATTTACAAAACTATTCCACATGCAGTATCTCAATGATACAGCCTGGGTAATAATGGAAGAGAACTTCTGTCTCTCCTCAAACATTTCAAGAGGTATTTGAGACCGGGCGCGGTGGCTCGCACCTGTAATCCCAGCACTTTGGGAAGCCGAGGTGGACAGATCACCTGAGGTCAGGAGTTCGAGACCAGCCTGGCCAACATGGCGAAACCCCCGTCTCTACTAAAAATACAAAAAGTAGCCGGGCGTGGTAGTGCACGCCTGTAATCCCAGCTACTCAGGAGGCTGAGGCAGGAGAATCGCTTGAACCCGGGAGGCAGAGGTTGCAGTGGGCCGAGACCGCGCCACTGCCTGGGCGACAGAGCGAGACTCCGTCTCAAAAGAAAAAAAAAAGAGAGATATTTGAAGTCACACCAAGTGGTTTGCTTCCCTAGCCACAAATACTAATCCAAAGTTTCTCTTTAAAGGAGATCCCTCGGAAGAATGTTGAGTGGAGAGAACCAATCTTTCTGTGCCCGGAGAGCAAAGTTAGGAGGGGAGGAGGATCTGTCAGCCGGTGTCCCGTCGTCGGCGGTCTCGAGGCGGCTAGGGTGCCAGGCACTGGGGCTTTCGTGCACGGGGCTAGGACGGGACGCGGGTGCGTTGGGCCCACTCACGTTGAATTTAGGGTAAGGAGGGGCTCGGATACTAAACTCCCTCCGTAGGAGCTGGCAACGTCCTTCCTGCTTCCATCTACTAGGCTATCACCTCCTTTTTCCCGGGTGCAGGGGAATAGGCACGGGAGCCGAGTTAGGGCGAGAAAGGGGCGGAGGCCGCTGGCACCTGACTCACCTGAAGAGTCGGTCCCGGCCCTGGGTCTGGTTGGTGAAGCGGGTGAAGGCGTCCATGGCTTCTAGCCCAAAGGCCACGAGTCGCACGGGGCTCAGGCGTGGGTCCTCTGGGGCCCGTCGGATCCCCAGGGAACGGTCAGTCCCAGGTTATCCGCTGAGGGGGAGGGGCTGAGTCTCTCCGCCCCAGAGGGGGCGGGCACACTTTCTGTAGAGCAACTTCGCGGACTTCCGGTTCAAGCCGGAAGTTGTGGTTACCAAGGCGACGCAACGCCGCCCGGCCAGGTGAGCAAAACTGATCTTACCTTTGGATGCCGGGGCTCCCCTCGAGTCCCAGGACTCCCCTTTACCTGTAGAGTCTCCTAGAGGAAAGTCTGAGGGGGTCCGTCTCCCCAGACTCGGGCGTTTCCGGATGCCTGACGCCTCCCCGCAGATCTCAGGTTCTCAGGAACCCGGGGTGATATCCCGAATGGTCTCTCCAGCCTCAGAACTCCCCTGAGCTCTTGCTTGGGACGGTGGGGCCTAATCATTTCCCAGCGCCGTGCCTCTTTCCCTTGAGCTACACCAGCTCTATGTCTGGTGAAGGAAGTGGTTAGGTCAGAGATAAGCCAATTTCACAGTGTGAACCTAGCATGGGAGGCGGATGAAGTGAGAAAATGTTCTGCTTGGATTATTGAACATTGAAAGAAGATTGTTACCTGAGGAAATCCTAAAAGAGTCATTATGAGCAAAGTGAAGCAAAAATAGATTGCAATGAAATTGCACCGCTGAACATTCGTTCTGTGCGGCTTGAAGAAAAGGAGCCTTACCCACTCCGTGGCAGTAATTTTATAAAATGTACCCTCTATAACCACAAAATAAGGTCGGCCGGTGCTGTGGCTTACGCCTGTAATCCCAACACTTTGGGAGCCGAGGTGGGCGGATCACCTGCGATCAGGAGTTGGAGACCAGCCTGGCCAACAGGGTGAAACCCCGTCTCTACTAAAAATACAAAAAAAGTAGCCGGGCGTGGTGGTGGGCGCCTGTAATCCCAGCTACTCGGGAGGCTGAGGCAGGAGAATCGCTGGAACCCAGGAGGCGGAGGTGGCAGTGAGCCGAGATTGTGCCACTGCTTTCCAGCCTGGGCGACAGAGCGAGACGCTGTCTCAAAAAAATAAAATAAAATAAAATAAGGTGAACATTTTCGTAATCTTTATTCCCTTGGTCAGGCCAGCTCCTAACATTTGCAGGCCCTGGGTAAGAGTACAAATGGAGTCCAGCACACCGTATGTTTAAATATTTTAGTTATAAATCAAGCAACAAATTGTAAAGTAAAATATAGTCTGTTTTCCTACATTGACAAATAGACCCTCATAATGATGTAGAAGGCCAGGTTCATCTTCAGAATCCCTAGACTCCTTAGAATACCTGGAAACACAGCTGGAATATGGCAGTGTGGGGAGAAATGGCTCCCAGTCTTTTCCCACTTCCCTTTCTTTTCTGGTTTCTGGTGCCCACCTGCATTCCCTGCCAGGAGCCTTGTATACCATCCTGATACTCCAAGCCACATCCAACGTCTGCCCGTACCTCTGCAAGCAGCCATGCCTTTGCCACCTTTTCAGATCGAGGAGTGCTCACATTAGCAGCTGGGTCTGCCCTCAGGTGAAAGCTGAGAAGGGCTCATGCAGGCCATGGTGTCATTTGGGCAGTAAATTCCAGGGGTATTGGTACCCTGAACATGGTCTAGACTCCAGAAGAGGGAAACTAGGCTTTGGGTGAGCATATCTCCTTGGCCCCATGGGTTACTCATTTTTTGTAGAGGAAAGAGCCTCGAAGAGAGCCAGAAGTTTTCTCTAAATACGTGGCCCAGGTCAGGGCAATTCTGCAAGCAATGAGAATTTATTGAGTCCTGGCCATATACCAACCACTGTGCTAAACTCTAGTCGTAGGGTAATAGGTTAACAAGGAACACAGTAAACTGATAAGTACAACACAGAGATATGTTAGATGATAGAGGTGAGCACAGGGTGCTTCTAAACACAGATGTGTATCATCTGTTTTTTGTTTTTGTTTTTGAGACAGAGTTTTGCTCTTATTGCCCAGGCTGGAGTGCAATGGCGCAATGTCAGCTCACTGCACCCTTCGTCTCCCGGGTTCAAGCGATTCTCCTGCTTCAGCCTCCTGAGCTGGGATTACAGGCATGCGCCACCACGCATGGCTGATTTTTTATATTTTTAGTAGAGATGGTGTTTCACCATGCTGGTCAGGCTGGTCTGGAACTCCTGACCTCAGGTGATCCACCTACCTCGAGCTCCCAAAGTTCTGGGATTACAGGTGTGAGCCACCACGCCTGGCCTCATCTGTTTTTTATACCTACAATTCTGCCTTTTTCACAATATCATATAAATTGAATCATATAGTATGTAGCGTTTTCTTTTCTTTTCTGATTTATTTTACTTAGCATAATGCATTTGAGATTATCTATGTTGTGCACATCAGTAGTTTGTAATTTTTTATTCCACAATGTGAATGTATTATAATTCATTATCCATTCACCCACTGAAGTACATTTGTGTTGTCTCTAATTTGAAGCCATTATAAATAAAGCTGCTATAAATATTTAAGTACAGATTTTGATGTGAAACATAAGTTTTAATTTTCCTACTGTAATATGCAGGAATGTGATTGCTGAAACATATGGTATGTTTAACTTTGTAAGAAACTGCCAAACTGTTTTCCAAAGTGGCTATCCTATTTTGTATTACCACTGACAATGCGTGAGAGCTTATCTGTTTGCCTGTTGGTGGACATTGGGTTGTTTCCACTTTGGGGCTCCTACAAATAAAGTTGTAATGACTGTTCGTGTACAAGTCTTTGTATGGACATATGTTTTCAGTTCCCTTCTACCACTCCTAAGAGTGGAATGACTGGATATGATGGTAGATAATGTGTTTAACTGTCCTGCAGGGGACAGGCCTATGCAAACCTACCCCTAAAAGTCTGAGAAAGCTGAGAGGCCAAAGCAAGAGGCTGACATACCCAGTTTCTCAGAAACAAACATTTAATAAATAAATACAATTTAAACAAACAAACAGAAGCCATGTCTCAGGAGCAAGACAAGATGGTGGATCCCTGCCATTATCCACCAGACCCAGGGTTTCTGTGCTATAGAGAAAGGTGCTTCAGAAGGAATGTGTAAGATAATTGCTTAAGGACAGAATTTATGGCAAGAATGATAACATCAAGGTTGTTTTGACCTAAGGGCAATATTTACAGTAAGTGGTGCTCTTACACAAGGAATGAGTCAAATGGAAATCTTAGAGGTTTTTCTGGAACTGGGGATAATCAGAAGTTAACATGGAGGATTAGCATCTAAGATGGAGTTGCTTTGGCCTCCACATTAGCGTTTTAAGAAATTGCCAAACTGTTTTCCAAACCAGTTGTACTATTTTGGTTTCCCAATAGTGTGTATGAGCATTCTTATTGTACATCTTCAACAACACTTTCATGGTCTATCTTTTTAACTTTAGGCATTTTAATATACGTGTAGTGGTATCTCATGATTTTAATTTGCATTTCACAAATGACTAATGATGCTGAACATCTTTTTATGAGTCTATCTGCCATCTGTATATCTTCTTTGGTTAAGTATCTGTACAAATTTTTTGCACATATTTAAAAATTGTTGGGTTATTTCTTTTTTTTTTTTTTTTTTTTGAGATGGAGTCTCGCTCTGTCGCCCAGGCTGGAGTGCAGTGGCACGATCTCGGCTCACTGGTTTCACACCATTCTCCTGCCTCAGCCCCCCGAGTAGCTGGGACTACAGGTGCCCACCGCCATGCCCAGCTAATTTTTTGTATTTTTTAGTAGACATGGGGTTTCACCATGTTACCCAGGATGGTCTCGCTCTCCTGACCTCATGATCTGCCCGCCTTGGCCTCCCAAAGTGCTGGGATTACAGGCGTGAGCCACTGCACCCGGCCGGGTTACTTCTTTTATTACTGAGTTTTGAGAGTTTTAAAAATACTCTGGACAAAAGTACTTTATCAGATAAGTGACTTGCACATATATTTTCTCCCCATCTGAGGATTACCTTTTATTCTCTTAACAGTGTGTTTTGAAGAAACACAAGTTTATTTTTGAAAAGGTTTAAATGACCAGTTTGTTCTTTTTAGGTTATACTTTAATGTCATATCTAGGAAATCTTTGTCTAAGAGAAGATTGCCAAAGTTTTCTTCTAGAAGTTTTATAGTTTTCAGTTTTACATTTAGGTGTATGATTTTACTTTGAGTTAATTTTTGCATATGGTGCAAGGTATGGATCGGCATTCATTTTTTTCCTATATAGATATCTAATTGCTCCAGCATTATTTGCTGAAAAGAATATCCTTTTTCCACCGAATTGTCTTTGTGCTTGTGTCAAAAATAAGTTCTCCATATATGTTTGCATCTAATTTAGGACTCCCTATTTGATTTCATTGATCTGTTTGTTTATTTTGATACCAATACCACACTGTCTTGAATATTGTAACTTTGTGATAAGTCTTGAAATTAAGTAGTGTTAGTCCTCCAATTATGAGTTGTAAAGTTAGCTTCTTAATTTCTGGAAAAAAAAAAGCCACCTGGGATTATCATAGGGATTGTGTTGAATTTGTACATGAATTTGAAAAGAATTGACATTTTAACAAAATTGAGTCTTCCAACTCATAAATAAGGTATCACACTCTCCATTTATTTAGGTCTTCTTTAATTTCTGTCAGCAATATTTTATAGTTTTCAGTATGTGGGTGGGTGTTTTTTAGAGAGGGAGTTTCGCTGTATTGCCCAAACTGGAGTGCAGCAACATGATCATAGCTCACTGCAACCTTGAACTCCTGGACTCAAAGCAATCCTCTCACCTCAGCCTGCTGAGCTGCTAGAATTACAGGTGCAAGCCACCTTGCCTAGCCCAGGATACAGGTTTTATATATCTTTTGTCAGATTTATCCCTAAGTAGTTCATGTTTTTGATACTGTTGTAAATGGTATTTTTATTTCAATGTTTGGTTTGTTATTGCCAGTACATAGAAATACAATCAGTTTTTGTATATTGAACTTGTATCTTACCACCTTGCTCTCCTCATTTATTAGTTCTAGAAAATGTTTTTGTAGATTTCCTCAGATTTCCTATATAAGCATATCATCTGGAGATAAAGACAGCTTTATGTTTTTCTTTCCACTGATGAAGTAGTTCCATCACTCCAAAAAACTCCCTCATGCTGTCCTTTTTTTTTTTTTTTTTTTTTGAGACAGAGCCTCACTCCGTCACCCAGGCTGGAGTGCAATGGCACAATCTCAGCTCACTGCAACCTTTGCCTCCCAGATTCAAGCGATTATTGGTCCTCAGCCTCCTGAGTAGCTGGAATTACAGGCACACACCACCACACCCAGCTTATTTTTGTATTTTTAGTAGAGGTGGGGTTTTGCCATGTTGCCCAGGCTGGTCTTGAACTCCTGACCTCAAGTGATTCACCCGCCTTGGCCCCCCAAAGTGCTGAGATTACAGACATGAGCCACCATGCCCAGCCATGCTGTCCTTTTTGAATAACACCCTTCCCTGCTTATAACTCTTGACAAACACTGATCTGTTCCCCATTACTCAGTTTGCATTTTTGAGAATGCTGTATAAATGGAATTGGACTGCATATAAATTTTGAGACTGTTTTCTTTCACTCATCATAATGTCTTTGAGATTCATCCATGTTGTTGTGTGGATCAGTAGTTTTTTGCTTTTTATTACTGATTAGTATTCTATTATATGGATATACCACAGTTTGTTTATCCATTGATAAACCTGTTGAAGGACATTTGGATTGTTTCCCATTTTTGACAATTATAAGTAGAGCTGTCATAAACATTTGTGTAGAGGTTTTTGTGTGAACTTACATTGGTGGTGGTGGTGGTGGTGGTGGTTGTTTTTGTTTGAGACAGGGCCTCACTCTGTCACGTAGGCTGGAGTACAGTGGTGTGATCATGGCTCACTGCAGCCTTGACCTCCCTGGCTAAAGCAATCCTCCCACCTCAGCCTCCCAAGTAGCTAGGACTACAGGTGCACATCACCACACCCAGCTAATTTTTGTATTTTTTGTATAGATGAGGTTTTGCCATTTTGCCCAGGTTGGTCTTGAACTCCGGGGCTCAAGCAATCTGCCTGCCTTGGCCTCCCAAAGTGCTCGGATGATAGGTTAGTTTTAATACTCCTAGGGTAGATACTCAGGAATGGGATTGCTGGGTCATATGGTAAATATATGTTTAACTTTATAAGACACTGTCAAATCCTTTCTCAGAGTGGCTGTCCTGTTCAGCATTTTCAACAGCAATGTATGGGAGTCCAGTTGCTCTGCATCTTCACCAGTGCTTAGTATTGTCAGTTTGTTTGTTTGTTTGTTTGTTTTTTAGAGACAAAGTCTCACTCTGTTACTCAGGCTGTAGTGCAGTGGCATGATCACAGCTCACTACAGCCTTGACCTCCCTGGCTCAAGCAATCCTCCTACCTCACCTGGGACTGAGGTGCACGCCACCCCCACCCCAGTGGTTTTTTAAAATTCCTTGTAGAGATGGGGTCTCACTGTGTTGCTTAGACTGGTGTCAGACTCCTGGCCTCAAGCAATCTTCCCACCTTGGCCTCCCAAAGTGCTTGGATTACAGGCATGAGCTGCCACACCTGGCACTATTTTTTTTATTTTAGCCATTCTAATATGTATGTAAAATATTTTAAACATATATTTACCATATGACCCAGCAATCCCATTCCTGAGTATCTACCCTAGGAGCATTAAAACTATTAAAAGTGATCCATGGGTTATTAAGAAGCGTGTTAGTTTCCTAATATTTTGAGGTCTTGTATACATTGAACCATCGAAATTTCTGTTATTGATTTCTAAAATAATTCTGTTGCAGTCAGAGAACATACTTTGTATTATTTAAGTTCTTTCAAACTTAGTAAGAGTTGGTTTATGGCCTGGAATATGGTTTGTCTTGGTAAATGTTTCATGTGCACTTAAAAATAATTTGCAATCTGCTGTTTTGGGTAGAGCGTTCTGTAACTGTCAATTGGAAAAAATTACTTAATAGTGTTATTGAAGTTTTCTGTATCCTCACAGATTTTTCTGTTTATGTGTTCTATAATTTATTGAGAAGAGGGTATTGAAATCTCTGACTATAATTGTGGATCTTCCTGTTTCTCATTAAATTCTATCCATTTTTACTTTGTGTATTTTGAAGCTCTGTTATTAGGTGCATAAACATTTAGGACTTTTATACCCACTTGATCAATTGACACTTTTATAATTTTTTTTTTTTTTTTTTTGAGACGGAGTCTCTCTCTGTCGCCCAGGCTGGAGTGCAGTGGTGCAATCTCGGCTCACTGCAAGCTCCGCCTCCTGGGTTCACGCCATTCTCCTGCCTCAGCCTCCCAAGTAGCTGGGACTACAGGCGCCTACCACCACGCCCGGCTGATTTTTTTTTTTGTAATTTTAGTAGGGACAGGGTCTCACCGTGTTAGCCAGGATGGTCTCGATCTTCTGACCTCGTGATCCGCCCGTCTCAGCCTCCCAAAGTGCTGGGATTATAGGCATGAACCACTGCACCCGGCCCACTTTTATCATTATTAAATGAACTTCTTTATCGCAGGTAATATTCTTTGCTCTGAAATATACTGTGTCTGATATTAATGTAGTCACTCCAGCTTTCTTCTGATTAGTGTTAGCATAGTATACCTTTGTTCACCCTTTTAGTTTTGGCATATTTGTGTCTTAATATTTAAGTGGGGTTTTTGTGCACAGCATATATTGAGTCTTATCTATTCTGACAACTTCTATCATTTGACTGGAGTGTTTACATTTGATGTGATTATTGATATGGTTAGATTTTGCTATACATTGTTTGTCCCGTCTGTTCCTTGTTCCCTTTTTCCTCTTTTTTGCTTTTTTAAATTAAGTATTTAAATTGAGTATTTTCATGTGTTTTATTGCTTTTGTTGGCTGGAACTCTTTGTTTTATTTCTTTAGTGGTTAATTTAGGGTTTAGAGTATGCATCTTTAACCTAGCATAGCCTACCTTCAAGTGATATTGATATACTTCCATTTCTCCCCTCCTAGTGCTTGTACTATTATTGTCATACATTTTTCTTTACATATGTTATTAATCCTACACTACATTTTTATTTTTTTGTTTAAGCATTTTAAATATCTTTTAAAGAGATTTAAATAATAAGAAAAATATTTTAATTTGCCTAATGCATCCAGTGTTTTTCACTTCTTTATGTAAATTTCTATTTCCACCTGATATCATTTTATTTTATTTATTTAATTAATTAGTTTGAAACAGGATATCTGTCACCCAGGCTGGAGTGCAGTGACACCATCATGGCTCACTGCAGCCTTGACCTCTCGGGCTCAAGTGATCCTCCAAGCACATGCCACCACGCCTGGCTAATTAAAAAAAATTTTTTTTATAGAATAAAGGTCTCCTTTTGTTGCTCAGGATGGTCTTGAACTTTAGGGCTCAAGTGATCCTCCCACCTCAGCCTCCCAAAGTCCTGGGAGCTACTATACCCTGATCCTTTTCCTTCAGCCTAAAAGCCTTTCTTTTACGTTATTTATTTTAATGCTAGCTTGTTGATGATGAATTCTTTCAATTTTTGTATGTCTAAAAAGGCTTTATTTCACTTTAATTTTCTGAAAAATATGTTTTCTGGATATAGAATACCAGAGTGACAAGTTTTTTTCTTTCAGTACTTTCAAGATGTTGCTTCACTGTTTCTCACTTGCATGGTTTCCTTCAATAAGTCTGCTGTTATTTTTTACTTTGTTCCTCTGTACATGGGATGCCTTTCTTCTTCTGGCTGCTTTCAAATTTTCTCTTTATCCATAATTTTATATAGTTTTTCTTCTCAAATCTGTGGGTTCATAGTTTTAATCAAATTTAGAAAATTTTTGTTCATTATTTCTACAAAATTTTTTTCTGTTTCTTCTCTCTTCTGGGGATTTCAGTCACTCTTTATTAGGCCACTTCAAATGATCTCACACCTCAGTTCTTCTCTTTTTTTCAGTCTTTTTTATTCCTTCGTTTCATTTTGTTTCTATTGCTGTGTCTTCAAGTTCACTAATCTTTTCTTCTGGCCATCTAATTTTTCCTCTGAAATCTTCATGTTAATCTAATCTGATGTATTTTTCATCTCAGACCTTGTAGCTGTGTCTCTAAAAGCTCAATATGGATTTAGAAAGATATAGATATAACAGTTACAGCTTTATAACTTTGTGGAAAAAGTTATAACTGTTTTGTCTGCTAATTCTAATATCTTTATTGACTCTGGTTCAGCTTTAGTTGATCGATTTTTCTCTTTATTATGGCTTATATTTTCTTGCCTTTCTATAGCCCAAGTAATTTCTTTATTGGATCCTAGACATTGGGAATTTTACTCCATTGAATGCTGGATATTTTTACATTCCTCTAAATATTCTTGAGCTTTGTTCTGGGATGCAGTATGTTACTTAGAAATAGTTTGATTATCTAACTTCTAAGATTTGATGGGTGACAACAGAGGAGCATTTATTCTAGGGCTAATTTTTCCCACGACCGAGGCAAGATTTTTCAGACTACTCTACATAATCCCTGTGAATTATGAGGCTTTCCAGTCTTGCTGGTGGAAACAGGCATTATTCTTGGCCCTCTGTGAGCTCAGCTTACTCTCCCCACTAATTACTTCAGGTGGTTCTTCCCCCAGTGTCAGCTAGTGTCCTCATACTCACACATTGAAAGCATCACAGATGTACTCCAGCCGGTAAAAAAAGATGACAGTGGCAGCAGGGCTTTTATGAGACTTCATGGACCCTAGGCACTCACACAGTCCAAGACCCTACTCCACTATATATTAAGCACCTTAAAATTTATCTCATGTTCTACATTAAATATTTTTTTAAAAACTGTAACATATGAAAGCCTTTTTATAATGTACACAATATTGAGGGTTTTTTTTTTTTTTTTTTTTTGAGGCAAGGTCTCACTCTGTCATCTAGGGTAGAATGCAGTGGCACAATCTTAGCTCACTGCAACCTCAAACTCCTGGGCTCAAGAAATTCTCCCACCCCACCCTCCCAAGTAGCTACAGATGCATACTGCCATGCCCAGCTAATTTTTAAATTTTTTGTATAGATGGGATCTTGCTATGTTGCCCAAGCTAGTCTCAAACTCCTGGCCTCAAGCAATCCTCCCACCTTGGCCTCCTGAAGTGCTGGGATTATGGGCATGAACCACCCCACAGGCCCTACAATTTTGAATTTTCTGAAGTAAAGATTACTTGTTCTCTTCTTGTAGACATGAACTTTATTTGTATACATATACAGACTTTATATATTTATAAGTTGATGTATGCATATATATGTGTGTGTACACACACACACACACACACACACACAGAGTGGAGCTAATAAATTGTAAATATTTTTGTAAATATTTAATTATCATCCACAGGAGCAATAAGTATTTCATTCCTCAAATCTGTGGCACAGATAGAAGTGGAAGTTTATGGGTCTTATTTTGGTCAATTCTTTTTTTAATGTCTCAAACATTTCTGGAGGCTCTTGAAAAATCTCATGGGCCCTGAGCACTGTGTCTGCAGAACTTCTGGGCAGCAGCAGCGGGAAAGGAGAAAAGGGAACAAATCAGACAGTCGGGATTGGGAGTGCTTGAACTGCATCTGATGGGGGGTAAAGGAAAGAAAGGGAGGAGAGTCGTGGCTCACTGCCCACCTGGCTTGGGCACAGCCATCTGCAGAGAGAAAGAGAATGAGGAGAAGGCATAAGTTGTAGGAGAGAGGGTGAATTGTATTTGGGACAGAAAGACATCTGCCCTCCTATCAACAAGGGTATAAAATTCCTCTTTCCTTCTTAGTACACATCATCTAGGGTTGGCCTGGAAAATACCTGCCTCCTCTAATGTCCTTACTAATATGAAGAGCATATCCTAAGAATGTGGTAATAGTCCTCTGGTAATTAAGGAAAATGCCAGTCTGTGGAATAAGCAGTCCCTATAGGCTATTGTGCTAGAAAAGGATGATGTGCTATCTTCTCATTGCTTCCTTTCTTCCAGAATTCCTTTGTTTACTTCTCTTATCAGCTTTTCAGTTTCATAGAGGTTCCCAGTGCCACCTTCTGTGATGTCATTCCCAAGAGGAAGTCAGACCCAGAAAATAAAGCACCCCATTGGTACACGAAAGGGACCATTGGAGGTGCCACCCCCAACAGAGAAGGACTGGCCTAAAGACGATGAACAGGATCATGTCCTCGTGGATCCAGATGAGGAGCTGGATTCCTTGCCTCAGCCTTATCGAATGATCAACAAGCTGGTGAACCTTCTGTTTGACCAGTCTTGGGAAATTATTGAAGAGAGAAACGCACTGAGGGAAGCTGAGAGCAGCCAGATCCAGCCCACCGTCTACCCTCCACTTGGAGAAATCCAGGTATGGAGTAAGCAGTTGACCAGGAGCCCCTGTTTCTCAGTTGAGTGTTAATAAATGAAATCCCCTGATCCAGGAAGGAATTCCTACTAGAAAGCTGCATTCAATAAGTCAGTGCATTTTTGAAAGATTAGAAGCATGCTGATGTTGATTAAAATGATCTGGTAATTGCCTGGGGAAATATGGGGTGTTCTGGTTAATTGAATACTATCCCTTTATATTCAGTGGTTGTTACTGAAAAATCTTCTTAATGTATTAATCTACTCTCTTGCTGGATGGCTGAGGATCTGCCAGTGCCTTGGCTACCATTCCTCCCACAGTGCACAAGCTGAATAAAGTGCAGGGCCTGTGGTCATGCCTAGTGTTGTGAATATGCATTTGTTCTCAACTTATTTGTTTTTCTCTATTCTCTTTGCCCTAACAGTGAAATACTATGAATTTCTTGATGCTTAGGCAAGAGTTTTAGATGAGCACTATGTTTGGGAATGTTGTTTTTTGGGGTTTTTTTTTGAGATAGAGTTTCGCTCTTGTTGCCCAGGCTGGAGTGCAATGGTGTGATCTCGGCTCACTGTAACCTCCGCCTCCCAGGTTCAAGCATTCTCCTGCCTCAGCCTCCCAAGTAGCTGGGATTACAGGGATATGCCACCATGCCCGGATAATTTTTATATTTTTAGTAGAGATGGGGTTTCACCATGTTGGCCAGGCTAGTCTCGAACCCTTGACCTCATGTGATCTGCCCACCTCGGCCTCCCAAAGTGCTGGGATTACAGGCGTTAGCCACTGCGTCCAGCCAGGAAATGTTATTATTATCTAGGAAGGGCCCCTGAATGTCTCTGAGAAGCTAACTCATAATATTTGAAGACAGTGACAACTGAAAATAATATTTTTTCTTTGTTTTCCCAGCTCAACAAAATGCCAAATTGTATGGCTGTTTCCCAAGACTATGTGTTTATTGGAGGAGCCAAAGGATTCTCAATTTATAATCTGTACAGTGCTAAACAAATATATGCGTGGGAGAAGCTTAAGGTTGATGTCACTTCCATCTGGGCCACAGATTTAGGGAATGAAATACTCATTGCTCCTGTGGATGAAATGGGTATTGTTCTTCATCTTCCTTTTTAGCCTCATTTACAGGTACCTGTAGACTGTTGTCAATTTAATCTCCTTTTGAGGTATTGGTGGGGCCAGGCATGGAGACTTCTCCCTGGTCATGTAATAGTAACTATATGTACAGAACAGGTATGGTGGGTCAGATACTGTTCTACCATTTCACATGTGCTAGCCCATTTAATCCTCATGGCAGCCTTAGGGGGGAAGTAAAATTTTTTATTCCTGTTCAGAAGAGGCAACTGACTTATGGAAGCTAAATAACTTATTTGAGGTAACATGGAAAGTCAGGCTTCAAACCAGGCAGTATGGCCCTGGAGTCCACACCCTTCCAGCACTCAGCAGTCCTCTCATACAAACCAGAGCTTGCTCTTTTTCCCTCAGCCTGAGGATGAACCAGGCCTCCATGAGGAGTATGGTATCGAAAACTGTAGACAGTGTCCTAGATAGGTGAGCTGTTACTCTTGGTTGCCCCCCAAAAGCTAGGCTCCCTCTAGCCTGTCCTTATGTTTGGGTGAAACAGACTGTTACCTCTGGATTTGAGGAGCTTTCCTACTTTGTGGAGGATGAGAAGGCAAATGTCAGCATTGGCTGGAAGTGAGTGAGGTGGCTGTGTCATATTGTGGCAGGCAGAGCGGAAAGTGCCTGCTCACTTGGAGATCATCTGTGAAGGCATGCATCTCTCTAGACCTCAGGCTCTGCTCAACCAGCACAGGCACACTGAAGAACTTTCTGCAGGAGAGTGACCTGACCAGACTGGCATTTAAGAAGGGCACTCTAGCAGGAGTTTGAAAAAGGCAAAATGAGAGGCAGAAAAACTATGCAGTCATTAAGGAGAGAAAATTCTGAACATCTGAACCAAGACAGGGGCTGTTAAAATGAAAAGAAAGGCCAGGTGTGGTGGCTCATGCCTGTAATCCCAGCACTTTGGGAAGCCCAGGCAGGTGGATCACTTGAGGTCAGGAGTTTGACACCAGCCTGGCCAACATGGTGAAACCCCGTCTTTACGAAAAATACAAAAAAAAAAAAAAAAAAATTAGCCAGGCGTGGTGGGCACCCAGGTGCTCGGGAGGCTGAGGAAGGAGAATTGCTTGAACCCAGGAGGCGGAGATTACAGTGAGCTGAGATCGCACCATTGCACTCCAGCATGGGTGACAGAATGAGACTCCATCTCAAAAAAAAAGAAAAGAAAAAGTGTACTATGGTTATGTAAGATGTTAACATTAGGGGAAGCAAGACAAGGGATACAAAGAAACTCTGTACTATTTTTGTAACTTTTTTATAAGTCTAAAATTAGTTCAAAATAAAAAGCTTAAAAAATGAAAGGAATGTTTAATGGAAAAACTTAGGGAATGATGGAATATGCATATGGGTCAAGTAGTGGGAAAGTGTGCCTGGGGGGCAATGAAGGAGAATGCCTCCCCCTTTGTGCCTTAGAATACTGGGTGGATGATGATGTCATTTCTTGATAACAGTTATGGGAAAATAAGATTTCAGGGTTCTGTGAGTTGAAGAATTCCATTTGAACATGTGCAGACTTGAGGCATCTAGGGATATCTCTGTGGGAATGTTGATACTCAGAAGGAGTTTAGTGTAAAGATAGGATCATATGTATCACACTACATTATACTAGTTGGTTTCAAGTCTGTGTAACCCTGAATATGATGAATCTGAAGGTAGACTGTCTTGGTGTCCCTAGCACATTTGTTGGCATGAATGAGATATCCCATGAATCTGTACTGGGTTGAGTTAGACGTTTACCCACAGTGGGCCAGATGCCTTTACAAGGTTATATTATAGTATAGAGAGGCAAGTCATAAGTATGTGGGAGGCACCTCAAGAAAGAGGTAAGAATTCATCGTGGGTGATGGTTGTATACTGGAGCCATTAGGTTAAATGAGAATTAGATTAACATATTTACTTATTAATTCAACAAAATTAACTGCACGAGGAGCTTGTTGGGATTGAGAGGCAAGACACATGGAACAGTGAGCTATGATCTTTCCCTCAAAGAATCTATGAATTCTCAAGAGGAATACAATACATTTGCAGGAAACAGTTGGATAATGGTGTGAAGCAGTAAGGGATGGTGTGCTCAATCAGGCAGATAGGAATCAACCAGTGGATGGATGTAGCCCATGTCTTACAGGAGACGTCTGGGAGATGCCGGTGGAGCCAGGGTAGGTGGAGAGGACCCAGGAAGGAAAACAACCCGAACATTCAAGAGGGGTGGAGGAAGGCAGGGAGACCAAGAGCAGCATAGGCAGTGGAGGGGCTGGGAAGGAGGCCTAAGAATGAGCGAGCTCATGATGGTAAGTTCACAAAGTCCAATATAAAATTTCCAGTTTCTCTTCAGCTCAATTGTCTGTCTTAACATTCTCACTTATTTTTCTGTTTCAGGTATCATTAGACTCTTTTATTTTTATAAGGAAGGACTTTACCTAGTCAAAGCCATCAATGAAGTGGTGAGTTCCTATTCTTTCACCATTAGCTGGGCCAAAAGCTGTAGCAAATTAAGTTTATTTTTAATATGGAAGCAATGATAGCTGGCCTAGATTAGAAAGAAATAGAGACCTCCATGGCCAGAGAGCCTCCTCCAAAATATCCATTTAAAAGATCCGCGACCATCAAAGGGTACATGCTGAATTCCTTGGATTTAGTTACCCTGTTGTCAAGAAAAGAAAATTAGCAAAGGAACTCCAGATTTTTCTTTTGAGAATCAGACCAACATATCTAATAAGTACTCAAAAGTCCCTAAATATCCTGGGCTGTTTCACATTCCCCTTCCCTTGCCCATGCTGTTCCTTCTGCTTCAAATGCTCTCCTTGTCTCCCTGCCGCCTTGTCTCCCTACCAAAATTTCCCCCATTCTTCAAGACCAGCTCAAATATCTCCTCTAAGATACTTTCCCTTATATACCCAAGAGGAGCTGATCTCTCCCTGCTTTGTGCCACTGACAAAGAGAACACAGTTTCTACCACAGTGTTTCCCGCACCCTCTACCCTAGTTTGTTCATGTGACTGCTTCTCCTGAGGGAAGAGGACCTGTCTTATTTACCTTTTGAATCCCCTTTTCCCAGATCATTGCCTACAATACTGTAAGTTCTCAGAAAGTATTTTTCAAATCAATGAATTCCCGAAAGAGAGGGTATTACTCAGAGTAAGGTTTTTTTTTTTTTCTTAAATAGAGACAGGGTCTTGCCATGTTGTTGCCCAGCCTGGTCATGAACTCCTGGCCTCAGGTGATCCTCCTGCCTCAGCCTCCCAAAGTACTGGGATTACAGGTGTGAGTCATAGTAGATTTTTTTATTATAATTTGTCTTCTAAGAAATACTATTGATGGGCACCAAGGCAATTCAGTGGGGGCCAAAAGAGAGTATTTTCAACAAATAATGCTAAAACACTGGAAAAACAAATATGGAAAAATGAACCTCAACTCTACTTCACACCATATATAAAAATTAATTTGATAGAGATTTTAGATCTAAATGTAAAGGCTAAAAACATTTCTTCTTGGAAAAAAAAACCACAGAGGAATTTTTTTGCTACCTTGGGGCAGGCAGAGATTTCTTAGGAAAATGAAAAGCACTAATCATAAAAGAAAATATTAATATTGGACTTCATTCCTCACACCATATACAAAAAGTAACTCAAAATGGATCATATACCTGTATGTAAAACCTAAAACTATAAAACTTCTAGGCTGAAACATAGGAGAAAGTGATCCTGGGTTAGGCAAAGATATTTTAGCCACAATACCAAAAGCATGATCCATAAAAGAAAAGATAAACTGGACTTTATCTAAATTAAAAACTTCTGTAAAAGATATTGTTAATGGAATGAAAAGACAACCCATAGACTGGGAGAATTCATTGCAAATTACATATGTGATAAGGGACTTGTAACCAGAATATATAAAGAACTCTCAAAACAAGAAAAGATGTAACTTTTTTTTAATGGGCAAAGGATTTGAAAAGAAGGGGTCACCAAAGAAGATGTATGGAAGGCAAATAAGATGCTCAAGATCATTAGTCATTAGGGAGGTGGAAATTAAAATCACAATGAGATATAATTACACATGTATTAGAATCCTCAAATTAAAAACACTCACCAAAAATAGGCCAGGCACGCTGGCTCATGCCTGTAATCCCAGCCCTTTGGGAGGCAGGCAGGTGGATCATTTAAGGCCAGGAGTTTGAGACCACCCTGGCCAACATGGTGAAACCCCATCTCTACTAAAAATACAAAAATTAGTTGAGCATGGTGGCAGGCGCCTATATCCCAGCTACTCAGGAGGCTGAACAGGAGAATCACTTGAACCCAGGAGGCAGAGGTTGAAGTGAGCTGAGATTACACCACTACACTCCAGCCTGGGTGACAGAGCAAGACTGTTTCAAAACACACAGATACACACAGAGACACAGACACACACACACAAATAAAAAATAAAACAACAAAGAAAAAAAGGAAAATAAAAAAATAAATAAAAACACCATACCAAGTGTTGGCAAAGATATGCAACAATTGGAACTCTTCCTATGCACTGCTGGTGGTAAAGTATAATAGTACAACCACTTTGGCAGTTTCTTCAAAAGTTAAACATGTACTTACCATGTGATCCAGCCATTCCACTCCTAAGTATTTATCCAGGAGAAATGAAAGTGTATGCCCATACCAAGGCTTGTACGTGAATGTTCATAGCAGCTTTATTTGTAATAGCCAAAAACTGGAAACCATCCAAATGTCCATCAACAGGTGAATGGATAAGTAATTGTGGTGTATCCATACAATGGGATATACTATTCAATAAAAAGGAGTGAACTATTAATGCATATAACATGTATAAATTTCAAAATAATTATGTTAAGTGAAAGAAGTCAGATAAAAATACATAACTGTTTGGTTCCATTTTTATAAAACTGTAGAAAATGCAAACTAACCTAGTGATGGAAAACAGATCTGTTGTTGCCTGGGGCAACACAACACAGGCAGGAGGAAACATTTGGAGGTGATGGATATGTTCACTGTCTTGATTGTGGTGTTGGTTTCAAGAGGTACACATATGTCAAAACTTATCTAATTGTACACTTCAAACATGCTATTATGTCATGATACCTCTAATAAAGCTGTTAAAAAATTTCAAATTTCTGCTCATCGAAAGATGCTATTAGAGTTCAGTCAGTAGCAGGAGCAGAGAGCGGACCCCAGAGAGCCCTGAACAGCCCCACCTCCACCCGTCCTAGTGACAGTCACACCCTGGAGGAGCTACAGTTGTCGCAGCTGGCTCTAGTCACCATCACCACTACCCTGAGCAAGGAGGCTGAGACCCAGCAGCTGCCAGTCCTCAGCAGTGCCCACATCTGCACCATAAGAAGTGGTTGCTAGGGTGGCTAGGACAAGAGCGTCATTGCAATGAAAATTTCGGAAACAGATGATTCAATGTCAGGAATGGCTATGTTTTCATCCACAGAAAGGACATCAAGGAGGTGTATTTGGACACAGACAGTCATAAAAGAATAACCCCAGGAAGTGCTTTCCCAGTGTAGTAGATGGAGTTTGAGGTTATTGAAGGGTATGGAGGTCGCAAATGTTACAGGCCCTAATTGCATTCCTATGCAAGGCAAGTAGATCTGCAGCAGACTAACCATTATGAATGCTGTCCGCATTGTAGGGCCAGTCCTCCACTCACTCACCAGCCGAATTATCAGAACAGTGAGAGTGGGGAAATGACCAAAGGTCAGAGAGTGTTCCTGAAGGCCAGGCTCAACAGCTGGCCCAGGCATGGGCTTCTAGCCTGTGGCGACCCTGTGGGTACCCACATTATTGTGGTGCACCACTATTGTGGCTGTGACGGCCAGGTGCCCACACTATTGCAGCCGTCCGGTGCAGGGAGAAGTGATGGAGGTACTGATAACCAGGGTGCAGGAGAACAAGGTGGACCAGTGACACAATCCTACACCACAATTCTCCAGGGCCCCTTCTCACCAAAGACAGAGAGGTCAGCAATGAAGAGGAAAAGGAAAATCAAGATGAGACACAAGGTCAACAACTGCAACTTCAGTTACAGATGTAGATGTCCAGAAAATCCTAAACCCCACTGTGGCAGAGACAAAAGCAAGGGATCCACCAGCTGAGAATGCCTTGGATCCTGAGGCTGGGCAGGGTGGGGGTGATTTATTTATTTATTTTTTGCCTGTTAACCAGATAACTAGAACTAATTGCATTATCAGTGCAGCATCTGGTTTTTAAAAAGCCAAACTGCAAACTGCTAATAAAGGCCTTAAATAATAATAAATATAATAAGAAAATGTAAAAACAAGCCAAAGACTGGGAGAAAATACCTGTTTTATATATATATACTTTATATATATTTATATATCCTTCAAAGTATTTGTATCCAGAATATATAAAGAACTCCAAATCAGTAATAAAAAGACAACCCAATAAAAAATAGGCAAAAGACTTAAACTGACATTTACAAAAGGAGACAGTGTTTCGCCATGTTGCCCAGACTGGTCTTGAACTCCTGGACCCAAGCAGTCTTCCCACCTTGGCCTCCCAAAGTGCTGAGATTACAGGTGAGGTAGTTTCTTACAAAGTTAAACCTATGATACATCAAGCCCATTTTTAGGTATTTACCCAAAAGAAATGAAAACATTTGTTCACAAAAAGATTTGTACAAGATGTTCATAGCAGCTGTATTTGTAATAAAAAAAAAAATAATCAAGGCCGGGTACAGTGGCTCCTGCCTGTAATCCCAGTACTGTGGGAGGCTGAGGCGGGCGGATCACGAGGTCAGTAGAACAAGACCATCCTGGCTAACACGGTGAAACCCCGTCTCTACTAAAAATACAAAAAATTAGCCGGGTGTGCTGGCACGCGCCTGTAGTCCCAGCTACTTGGGAGGCTGAGGCAGGAGAATTGCTTGAACCCAGGAGGCGGAGATTGCAGTGAGCTGAGATCGCACCACTGCACTCCAGCTTGGACGACAGAGTGAGACTCCGTCTCAAAACAAAAACAAAAACGAAAACAAAAAAACATAATCAGAGAACAAATAAAAATTTGTGGTAGACTAAGTCAATGGAACACTAATCGGCAATAATAAATAATAAACAACTGATGATTACAACGCAGCAGATGAAACTCAAAAACATCAAGTTGAATGACAGAAGCCAGACACAAAAGAGTAGGTTCTAATTATGAAATTATATGAAACTTAAGAACAGGCGAAATTTATCTGTGTTAGCGATGGAAAGCAGAACATTGGTTGCATATGGAAGTGTAGTTGGCTCAAACAGGCATACGGTAACTTTCTAGGATAATGGTAACGTCCTATACCTTGACAGGGTGTTAGTTACAGGGACGTATAAGTTTGTCAAAACTCATCAAGTTATGCATTTAATACCTGTGCCTTTACCTATATTTAAATTTTATCTTTAAATAAACTCTCCTAAGAAAAAAAAAATACTGGGAATGTCCCGCAACTCATTTTATGAGACCAGCATAACTATGATATTCAAATTATCAGGGATGTTACAAAAAAAGTACTGTTGGTGGATTAAAACACATAAAAATATTTAAAATCCATTAATTCATGATAATATATTTTAAATACTTTATTGTCACAACTTTGGAAGTTGTGAGGGAAGTTTCAGAAACTCAGTATTCTGAAAACTGATAAGGGAAAGAATCAAGCTTTTATTCTGACTTTTTCATATGGGCAACCAATTTCAAGGCAACAAAATGGTTGATGATGGAAAGATCTTCCTTATAGAAGAATTCTAATAAATGCAGAAGGAATGATAGAACTGAGGTATCCTACTTTTGTTGCCTATTACAAAGAATGGTCTAGGCAATAACCACCAATGGCTGATGGGGAAGTTTGTAATAAAGGAGTCAGGATGATAACTGTTCTCAACTGTCAACCTTAACATTACTAAAAGAGAGACAACCAGCTATTATGAGCCTCCTGATATGATGCAGTAGGAAGGACACAGTGCACCTGTGGAGTGTTCTTGCCAAAACATTGAACCTAAACCTAATCAAAGCTGTAGATCTGATTATCAGTTTACAGGAAATACAGGAACCATGGAGATGCAATCAATCCAGTTCACAATGCGAAAAATTCCATAGGACAAATGACACGGTTTCTTCAACAAATAAATGGCAAACAGAAAAACAAATGAGGGAGCTAATATAAATTAAGAGACTTAGGAGATACATTAGGCCGGGCATGGTGGCTCATGCCCCTATAATCCTAGCACTTTGAGAGGCCATCTTGGGAAGATCACTTGCAAGCCAGGAGTTCAAGACCAGCCTGGGCAACAAAGTGAGATTCCGTCTCTCTTAAAATTTTTAAAAATTAGCGAGTCTCAAAAAAAAAAAAAAAAAGATAGCATAACCATTCACATTGAGCCCCTCTGACCTTATCCACAATTTGAGCAGGTTTCATACTAAGGTTACATTCAGTCTCTACCATAGTCTAAATAGAGCCTTTTGTCCAGCAACTACCAGAGTTTTCAGTGTCATGTAGAATTTATTTCCATTTAGTTGAATAATTGGATGCCAGCATAGGCTTTAGGGTTTGCACACCTGACGAGGAGATCCAATAGTATGCCAGATGTCACCAGGAGCATTTAAGAAACCAGGAAATAAGTTCAAAAACCTTACATAGAAAAGCGAGTTCTACTTCTTTACATATCATCTTGTCCAATTCTTGTACAAAAATGGGAAGTATGAAGCAGTTTGAAGCATCTTTTCATGTCCCAAGGTTTAAAAGGATCTCTGTTCCTGGGTGCAGACCACAGAAGGTCCTGAAATACATTCTCTGTCAGCAGGCTATGCCTACTCTATCAACATCTCTTTTGTTTTCAGGATGATACCAGCAAGCAAACTACCTGTATAAAGATGGAGATCTCTCAAGGAGGGGACTTTGCAGCCTTCCTCCTACAAGGCAAGATTAACCAAAGACTGTTAAGGTTCAAATTTTCAGTCTCTTCCAATCTTCCAAATGATTGCTTTTGTCCCTCCAAACCTTTTATTTAGAAATTATTTTCAATTCAAAGAAGAGTTGCAAAGAAATTACAGAGTTCCCTTATGCCCTTCACCCAGCTTCCCTAATATTAATGTTCAACATGGCCACACCACATTTGTCAAAACTAAGCAAATGACATTGGTACAGTACTATTAACTAACTCTTAACTACAGATTTTTTTTTTCGGATTTCACTAGTTTTTCCACTAATCTTTTTTTTTTTTTTTTTTTTTTTGCTCCAAAGTTCAATCTGGGATACCATATTATATTTAGTCATTGTGTCTCCTTAGTCTCCTCCTACCTAGGATGGTTTCTTGGCCTTTCCTCATTTTTCAAGGCCTTAAAGAGTACCAGTCAGGTATTTTGTAGAATGTCCCTCAATTTCAGCTTGTCTGATATTTTTCTCATAATTCAACTGGGGTTAAGGATTTGGGGGAAGATACAACAGAGGTGACAAGCTTTTCTCATTGCATCATATCAAGGGGTACATGATAGCAGCATGACTCACTACTGCTAATACTAACCTTGATCACTTCAAGTGGTGTCCGCCAGGTTTCTCCACTGTAGAGCTACTGTTTTCCCCTTCCCATCCTCTGTAAGGAGCAAGTCACTACATCCAGACCACACTCAAGGGAAAATGATAGAAGTACCACCTCCTGGCCAGGCGCGGTGGCTCACGCCTGTAATTCCAGCACTTTGGGAGGCCAAGGCAGGCGGATCACCTGAGGTCAGGAGTTCAAGACCAGCCTGGCCAACATGGTGAAACCCGTCTCTACTAAAAATACAACAATTAGCCAGACGTGGTGGTGGGCACCTGTAATCCCAGATACTGGGGAGGCTGAGACAGGAAAATCGCTTGAACCTGGGAGGCGGAGTTGCAGTGAGCCGAGATCGTGCCATTGCACTCCAGCCTGGGCAACAAAGAGCGAAACTCCATCTTAAAAAAAAAAAAAAAAAAAAAAAGTATCGTCTCCTGGAGGTAAGAGAATCAAAGAATTTTTGGACATGTGTTAAAACCACCACAGTAATTAATAAACACCTTGAGGGAGATACTTTGAGAGGATGCTGATGTGCTGTTTCTCTTTAATGTTTTACCCACCAATCTCAGCACTCATCATTGGATCTTGCCTGCTGCAGTTATCACTGGGACAATAGAACATATTTTATTCAAATGCTTGTTGCCTTGATTTTTAACCTTTAAATATTTAGATACATGGTATATTGGCCTCTATTTTATACTCTTGTCCAAGCCCCCTCCAATGTCAGGTATTTGAGGAACATATGCATTTTATTTTGTTTTTTTTTTGAGAAGGAGTCTTGCTCTGTCACCCAGGCTGGAGTGCAGTGGCATGATCTCGGCTCACTGTAACCTCTGCTTCCCAGGTTCAAGCGATTCTCCCACCTCAGCCTGCCAAGTAGCTGGGATTACAGGTACCTACAAGCATGCCCGGCTAATTTTTATATTTTTAGTAGAGACGGGGTTTCACCATGTTGGCCAGGCTGGTCTCGAACTCCTGAGCTCAGGTGATCCGCCCGCCTCGGCCTCTGAAAGTGCTAGGATTACAGGCATGAGCCACCACGCCTGGCGAAGGATATGCATTGTATAATGCTTTGTGTATTCAAGGAAACTTGTGCACCATCTGTATTGGTTTCCTGAGCCTGTCATAACAAAGTACCACAAACTGGGCAGCTTAAAACAATAGATATTTATTCCCTCAGAGTCCTAGAGGCCAGAAGTGTGAAATTAAGGTGACCAGAAGATTACTTTTTAAGAAAAAAATTTAGCCAGGATCCCATACCATGGGAGAACAACCTTTCCTAGGTTAACATATATTTGCTATAGAAGCTGAGCATGTTTCTTTGACAAGATAAAGTCCCACAGCCAACCCATGGGTTGTTATCTCCTCAAATATTGGTCAGAAGAATTCTTTAGGTACATCTTTCCCAATTCTAACCCTTCCTCAGACACACTTCTCTCAGTTGCTGATTCTGTATTTGCTGCCCTCCTCCCCAGACAGGTAAAACTGAAGGCAAAATGTCAGTGGATGTGATCACTTCAGCAGCACATATACTAAAACTGGAACGATACAGAGACGATTAGCATGGCCCCTCTGCAAGGATGACACACAAATTCATGAAGCATTTCTTTTTTTTTTTGAGATGGAGTTTCACTCTGTTGCCCAGGCTGGAGTGTAACGGCCTGATCTCGGCTCACTGCAACCTCCACCCACTGGGTTCAAGTGATTCTCCCACCTCAGCCTCCCGAGTAGCTGGGATTACAGGTGTACACATCACCATGCCCGGCTAATTTTTGTATTTTTAGTAGAAATGGGGTTTCACCATGTTGGCCAGGCTGAGAACTCCTGACTGCAGGTGTTCCACCCACCTCAGCCCCACAAAGTGCTGAGATTACAGGCGTGAGCCGCCATGCCCGGCCCCATATTTTTTTTAATGTCAATGGAATTTACCATTTGCAACAAAGAAAATGTGGGGGCTGGGCAGAACAATTTGGTTAAAAAGCTGTTGCATGAGTGCTGTTAGTGTGAGAAGCCCCTGTTTCTCTTAGATAGGTGGTGGTGGGTTGAGGGGATAACTCTCCATGGGAAAGTTATGTGGGGCATGAGGACTTGCAATAACCATTGCAGAACTACTTCTCCTTCAGTATGTCAAAGTTGCCTGGTATGGAGGTGGCTGGTCTCTTTGCCAGCAGTTCTAAGAAGAAGACAGGCCATTTCTCAGAGGAAACTTGTGGCTCTCTTACAGTTGCTCAATGGTTCTCTGGTTTCCCAATGCAGGAGCCGGAGATATTTGGCTGGATGTGTATAAATTGCCCAAGGAGACTTGGCTCAAGAAACTAGAGCACCCCCAACTCACTTCAAATCCAAAGAAAAAAGTCAGACAGCCGCAACTGGTAGGAAATATCTCTGCTTTCAGCTGATATGTTTCTCCCTACCCCTGACCCACATCTAGCCCAAGTCCTTGGAAACTTATGGTGAATGAGGCCTCTGGGCTATAAGAGAGGACAACAGGAATATTGGCCCCTGTCTCCCAAGTCAATTTCCTTTGGTTAAAATAAGATATTAAAAAGTAGAGGTGTCTTCAGTAGTGGGAATCGCAGTATCTCTAGTCTGGGAGTTGCCTCTCCACTGAGACCACTCCCAGGCATTTCTCTGGAAGGAGGGTCTTTTGTCCTGACTCCTGCTTCACTGGTAATCTTTTTTTCCCTCCTGGCTGAAATAATCTTTTCATGCCTCAAATTCCATTAAATTTTTCCAGACTATGGTATAAAGAGGTTGTTCTCAATATACAGAAATATATATATATTTTCTATTATCCTTAGAAAGTAGAAACTCTACCATTTCAGTTTATTTATATATGATGACTGGGCCTTGTGCTGTTTTTTTGTTTTTGTTTTTGTTTTTTGAGTCTCGCTCTGTTGCCCAGGCTGGAATGCAGTGGTGCGATCTCTGCTCACTGCAACCTCTGCCTCCCGGGTTCAAGCAATTCTCTTGCCTCAGCCTCCTGAGTAGCTGGGACTACAGGTGCACGCTGCCATGCCAGGCTAATTTTTTTGTATTTTTAGTAGAGACGGGGTTTCACTGTGTTAGCCAGGATGGTCTCAATCTCCTGACCTCGTGATGTGCCCGCCTCGGCCTCCCAAAGTGCTGGGATTACAGGCATGAGCCATCGCACCCGGCCTGTGCTATGTTTTTAAGATATAGTTGCTCAGTAAATATTAAGACTTAATTTGCTTATTTATACAGTGTATGCTTATTATTTTTACTTTTAAACCACCAACATTAATATATTAATATTAACTGAGCATCCCTTTAAAATACATTGTATTAGGTGCTAAATAAATTAGTGAAATTATTAATATAGGAGACCAAGATTGAGAGTTACATTCACTGCTGAGCTCAAGTGGCTTTGAATAAATGCCTTTATGGCCAGTGAATATCTTCATAATGGAGTGTAGTCCTATGTCCCTGGGAAAGTTACTAGCCCAGAGATATTCCTCCTCTAAGCTATTACAGAATGTTATTATTTGTATGTATTTTTTGACACTTCTCACATACTGCCTAGGTTTGTAGTTATCCTGTTATACATGAAAATCCTCTTGTCTTCAATGGATAATAAATTTCTAGATTGTTAAGATCATACCTTCTGCTTTTTATCAACAAATTCCATAGTATCATACTTGGTACTCAAAAAGATATATTTTTGTTTGGACTAATTTGTTATCCAAATAGGAAAAGCACCTTGAATGGGGTGGTTTCTCACCATAATTCACTTCTTTTTCATACACTGAGAAGCAGCCAATGAATGCCAGTTACAGTGGTAGTTCTTTTACTACGAATTATATTTAGAGTTACTTAAATGTAATTCTCAACATCACCAATATGTTTTGCCAATCAGAAATATTTGCCTCAATTTGGATTCTTGTAATGGTGTTCTGACTGATCTCCTCAACTCTATTCATTCAGATTTCCTCTTGTTATTAACTATTTCCTGTTTCCCCACCTACCTTTTAAGATCCTGAAAAATAGGGATCGTGTGTTGAAGTTCTGCAGGCCAGAGGCCCACACAAATACTGGCCCTCCACATCTGTTGCATGAATTCACTCACAAGAGTAATTGAGGGGAAGAGAGAGCATGCCAGAAGATTAAAGGGGGTGGTAAACATACATCAAACCTATTGTGAATTAATTTCTCATTTTTCTTCTCAGAACTCCCTTGGTCCCATTTCTGCAGATCCTTTAGAAATGGTAAGAAACTTTAAAGAAAATCTCCAGAGAGACTTAAGTTTGTATTTTAGAGATTTTTTAAAAATTATTATTTTTCTTTTCTTTTCTTTTTCTTTCTTTTTTTTTTTTTTTTTTTTTTGAGACAGAGTTTCATTCTTGTTGCTCTTGTTGCTCAGGCTGGAGTGCAATGGAGCGATCTTGGCTCATCGCAACTTCTGCCCCCCAGGTTCAAGTGATTCTCCTGCCTCAGCCTCCTGAGTAACTAGGATTATAGGCATGCACTACCACGCCCGGCTAATATTGTATTTTTAGTAGAGACAGGGTTTTCTCCATGTTGGTCAGGCTGGTCTTCAACTCCCGACCTCAGGTGATCTGCCTGCCTTGGCCTCCCAAAGTGCTGGGATTATAGGCGTGAGTCACCACACTGGGCCCAAGATTTTGATTTTTACTTGAAATTTACCCTAAATGTCAAATATGCTAATGAAATGTTCCACCTGGGCACTATTTTCAATTCTCAGTGACTTAATCTTGTGCCTCATATCCATTGAAGATGACCTCCCGTCCCTGAGGACAGTTGACCCAAGTCATTTGGCCAGACGTGGGTTTACCTGAAGTTAAGGGAGCTTAAATTTCAGGGCCCCTCACTTGGGCCCCTGGAAGGGGCCCTAGCAATGTGTTCATATGGTTATATATTTTTGTAAAATTAGCAAAGGTAACATATTGTAACCATAATCACTTAATTCCACTACCTCTTCACTCTAGCTTTCCTCTGTCACAATTTCCTCCATATTAGATGGAATTACAGTGGCCATGGGCATTTTGTGTTCATAGTTCTGTCTTCTTTTTCTTAAAAGAGGGTCCTATGAATCCTGGATTTGCCTCTACCAAAATAACAGCCCAATTCACCAAGCCGAGTAACTTGGGGGTTTTGTGTTTGTTTTGGAATACCTTAGAGAACAGAGCAGTTTCCCTGGAGCTTCCTGGCTCTTCCTCTGAGACCAGGAACATACCATGTCTTCAGAAAGCATGGCTCTTGGAGGACTCAGGCGTGTCAGTAGAGTAGTGGTGAACTTCTGAAGTGGAAGTATCTCGCTAGAGCCCCTTCTTTTTTCCCTTTCAAAGTTACATTAGGCCAGGTGGGGTGGCTCATGTCTGTAATCCCAACACTTTGGGAGCCTAAGGCAGGAGGATCTCTTGAGCTCAGGAATTTGAGACCAGCCTGGGCAACACAGCAAAACCTTGCCTCTACAAAAAATACAAAAAATGGCCGGGTGCAGTGGCTCACGCCTGTAATCCCAACACTTTGGGAGGCCGAGACAGGTGGATCACGAGGTCAGGAGTTTGAGACCAGCCTGACCAACATGGTGAAACCCCATCTCTACTAAAAATACAAAAATTAGCCGGATGTGGTGGCGTGTGCCTGTAATCTCAGCTACTCAGGAGGCTGAGGCAGGAGACTCGCTTGAACCCGGGAGGCGGAGGTTGCAGTGAGCCGAGATCACACCACTGCACTCCAGCCTGGGAGACAGCTGTCTAAAAAAAAAAAAAAATTAGCCAGGTGTAGTGGCATGTGGCTGTGGTCCCAGCTACTCAAAAGACTGAGGTGGGTGGATGGCTTGAGCCCTGGAGTGGAGGCTGCAGTGAGTCGAGATTACACCACTGTACTCTAGCCTGAGTGACAGAGCAAGACCCTGTCTCACAAAAAATAATAAAAATAAAAATAGTTATATTTCACATTGTACAAATAATATATGAATATATCACTCTTGGAAAAGTCAAGGAATTCAGATAAACAGCCCTCTCCAGAGGTAATCACCATTATTAGCTTGACATGTTTTTTTGTTTGTTTGTTTGTTTTGTATTTTTAGTAGAGACAGGGTTTCACTATGTTGGCCAGGCTAGTCTCGAACGCCTGACCTCAGGTCATCCACCCGCTTTGGCCTCCCAAAGTGCTGGGATTACAGGCATGAGCCACCGCGCCCAGCCCCAGTTGATGTGTGTTTTCTAGATCTTTAGTGTGTATTTACATCTTACGTTTATTTTGAAAAATACAGTTTTGTTTCATGGAATTTTTTTTCTACATAAGTGGCATCATACTGTATATATTTTCTTATAAACTTGCATTTTTTTACTCATCAATTTGTTTGCACATTTTTTTCTTTTTCTTTTTTCATTTTGAAACAGGGGCTCACTCTGTCACTCAGGCTGGAATGTAATGGCATGATCATGGCTCACTGCAGCCTCAACCTCCTGGGCTCAAGCAGTCCTCTCACCTCAGCTTCCCAAATAGCTAAGACTACAGTTGTGTGCTGCTATGCTTGTCTAATTTTTAAAAATTTTTATAGAAAAACATGTTGCTCAGGCTGGGCATTATTTCTTCTTAAAATGTTAGGTAGACTTTACTAATGTGTCCATCTAGTCCTGGAGCTTTCTTTGTGGAACTACAAATTCAACTCCTTTAATAGATAAAGCACTATTCAGGTTATCTATTTCTTCTTGAGCAAGCTTTTGTACCTTGTGTCTTTCGAGTAATTTGTCCATTTTGTCTAAGTTGTCAAATTTATTGGCTTAAAGTGGTTCATAACATTCCATTATTATCCCTTCATTGTCTTTAAAATCTATTGTGATGTCATCCCTCTCATTCCTGATATTGGTAATTTGTGTCTTCTCTCTTTTTTTCTTAATCAGTTTGGCTAAAGGTTTGTCAATTTTATTCATCTTCTCAAAAGAACAATATTTTAGTTTCATATATTTTTCCCTATTGTTTTTCTGTTTTCTATCTCACTGATTTCCAGTTTGTTTTTATTATTTCCTTTGTTCTGCTCACTTTGGGTTTAGTTTCCTCTTCTAATTTCTTTCTTTCTTTTTCTTCTTTTTTTCTTTTTTTTTTGAGATGGAATCTCGCTCTGTCACCCAGGCTGGAGTGCACTGGCATGATCTTGGCTCACTGCAACCTCCGTCTCCCAGGTTCAAGCAATTCTCTGCCTCAGCCTCCCGAGTAGCTGGGATTACAGGTGCCTGCCACCACGCCTGGCTAATTTTTGTATTTTTAGTAGAGACGGGGTCTCACCATCTTGGCCAGGCTGGTCTTGAACTCCTGACCTCGTGATCCCACCTGCCTCAGCCTCCCAAAGTGTTGGGATTATAGGCCTGAGCACTGGGCCCAGCTCCTCTTCTAGTTTCTTAAGGTAGAAGCTCAAATCATTGAGATCGTCTTTTCTGATATAGGCATTTAATGCTATACACTTGTATCTAAGTACTGCTTTAAAATTTGATTTTTTTATTTTCATTCATTTCAAAGTACTTTATAATTTGCTTTTGTATTTCTTCTTTGACTAGTAGGTTTTTATTTTTTTATTTTTGAGAGAGAGTCTCATTCTGTTGCTCAGACTGGAGTGCAGTGGTGCAATCTTGGCTCACTGCAACCTCTGCCTCCCGGGTTCAAGCAATTCTCCTGCCTCAGCCTCCCAAGTAGCTGGGATTACAGGCACATGTCACCATGCCCAGCTAATTTTTGTATTTTTAGTAGAGATGGGGTTTCACCATATTGGTCAGGCTGGTCTTGAACTCCTGACCTCGTGATTCGCCCGCCTCGACCTCCCAAAGTGCTGGAATTATAGGCGTGAGCCACTGCACCCAGCCGACTAGTAGATTTTTAGAAGTATGTTATTTAGTGTCCAAATATTGGAAATGTTACAGCTGGCTTTTTTTATGGGCTTCTCATAAAATCCGTTGTGATCAGAAAATCCATTGCGATCAGAAAACATACTTTATATATTTGAATCATTTTAAGTTTATTTAGATTTGTTTTATTCCCACAATGTGGATTATATTGGTAAGTGTTTATATGTACTTGAAAAGGATGTTTGAAGACCAATAAAGCTGTTATTGGTCAGGCTATTCAAGTTTTTCTCCTTTCTGTTTTTCCTTTTATATCCTTACTATATTCTTACTGATTTTCTGTTTACTTATTCTGTACTTATTGAAAAAGGAGTCTCTAAGATTGTAGATTTATCTTTTTCTTCTTTCACTCTTACGAATTTTTGCTTCGTGTATTTTGAAGCTTTGTAATTAGATGCTTAACAATTTGGAATGTTTTGTCTTCAGATGAATTGATTGTTTTGTCATTATTCACTGACCCTTTGATTCCTGATAATATTCTCTGTTCAGAATTCTTCTATGTCAAATACTAATATGGCCACCCAAGCTTTCTTTTGATTCATTTTAGCAAGATATATCTTTTTCTGTACTTTTATTCTTAACATGTTTGTGTCATTATATTTAATATAACGAGTTTCTTCTTTTTCCCTATGGTTTCAGATAGTGTTTCATAAAATGAGTTTCTTGGCCACATGTGGTGGCTCACACCTGTAATCCCATTACTTTGGGAGGCAGAAGCAGGAGGATCACAGGAGCCCAGGAGTTCAAGATCATCCTGAGCAGCATGGCGAGACCTCATCTCTGCAAAACTAAATTAGCCAGGTGTGGTAGTGCACACCTGTGAGATCCCAGCTATTCAGAAGGCTGAGGTGGGAGGATTGCTTAAGCTCAGGAGGTCGCTCCTGCAGTGAGCTGTGATTGTTCCACTACACTGCAGCCTGGGTGACAGAGCAAAATCCTGTCTCTCACACACACACGCACACACAAAGTTTCTTTTTGACCTCATATAGTTGGGTCTTGCCCTTTCTAAAAAAACTGTTTCAAAGATGGGCTCTCGCTATGTTGCCCAGGCTGGAATGCAGTGGCTATTCACAGGCACAGTCATAGCACATTGCCACCTCAAACTCCTGGCCTCAAGCGTTCTTCCCACTTCAGCCTCCAGAGTAGCTGGGACTACAAGTGTGTCACCATGCCCAGTAAGGGTCTAGCCTTTTTATAGAGTCTGACAATCTCTGCCTTTTCACTGGGGTTATTTAGACCATATACATTTAATGTGATTATTTATATGTTTGGGTTTAAATCTACAGTCTTGCTATTTACTTTTACAATCTTGCTATTTACTTTCTATTTGTCCTCTTATTTTTCTTTTTCCCCTTCTTTTCCACCTTCTTTTAAAATTAGTATTTTTAATTATTCTATTTCCTCTCTTCTCTTGGCTTATTAACTATGCCTTTTCCTTGTTTTAGGATGCAAATGTTAGTTTTAAAGGAGACATTAAATTGAGTCTTCCAGTTTACATAATGAAGATCAAACCACCTAAGCCTGTTACAGGTAAGTGTGATTCAAATCTCTCTCCTTTTGCCATTGATTTATCTGTTCTTTCTTCCTTTCCCCATGTCTTATCTTTTCAACTTATTAGCAACGATATCAAAATTACAAACATAGTTATGAAGAGGAAATTTTTTTTAAACCCATAAGCTCTGAGACATTAAAACAAAAAATGTAAGTAATGCATTTGTATTACATACAGTTAACTAACAGAATTGGAAGGTCAGGAGAAAAAGATATCTTTTCTGAATTGCCAGGTTGAGTTCATTTATTCCTACATTTCTGTGCTGATTCATTTGACTGCTAGTTGTAATACATTCATTCCTACATTCTTGTGTTAATTTATTCATTATTATTTGCTGAATGCCCATAATGCACCAAGCACAAAGATGAGTAAAACACCTCTCCTCTCCTGCACTCTAGAAGTTGATAGTCTACTAAGGGAGAATGACAAGAAACCACCATAGTAGGATGTGATAAGTACAGCAATGGGGACCATCAAGGGCTGTGAAAACTCAGGGTAAGAAGCGACTGACTTGCTAGGGAGTAAGGGACATTTGGGCACAGTTTCAAAGAAAGGGACTTGGTCAAGAGGAGCAGAGAGGCTAGCTATTGTAGGCGGCAAATACAGAGGATATCCTCTCAGCATTCACACATGATCACAAAGACATATCTATAAGAATGTTCACCCCTGGTGGACTAGTAGTTACGATTAAAAAAAAAAACCAGAAAAATGTTTACGGTAGCATTATGTACAGAGGTGAATAATTGGTTAAATAAAATCTGGGCCGTGTGCGGCGGCTCGTGCCTATAATCCTAGCACTTTGGGAGGCCAAGGTGGGCAGATTGCTTGAGCTCAGGAGTTCAAGACCAGCTTGGGGAACATGGCAAAACCCCACCTCCACAAAAAATACAAAAATTAGGCAGAGTGGCATGCACCTGTGGTCCTGACTACTTGGGAGGCTAAGGCAGTAGAATCGCTTGAGCCCAGGAAGCAGAGGTTGCAGTGAGCTGAGATTGTGCCATTGCACTCCAGTCTGGGAGATGGGAGTGAAACCGCGTCATAAATAAATAAATAAATAAATAAATAAATAAATAAATAAATCTGGTACACTCATACAAAAGAATACTTTGCAACCATTAAAAAAACAAAAGAGAGGCCAAGTGTGGTGGCTTAAGCCTATAACCCTAGCACTTTGAGAGGCCAAAGGAGGAGGATCACTTGAGCCTAGGAAGTTGAGGCTGTAGTGAGCTATGATCACACCACTACACTCCAGCCTGGTGACAGAACAAGACCCTGGTTCAAAATCAAGAACAACCCCCCGAAAAGGGAAATGCCAAAGGCGAAGAATAGACAATTTTCTCTTGTAAAAGAATGTGGTGGTCAGACTTGCTCTATCAATATTTATTATAAAGCTGCAGTTATTAAGATAAAAAATAGATAAGTGAATAATAGAAATATAGATGAAATATAGAAATATAGATAGATAGAAATAGCAGATAGAAAAATAGAGGAAAAATAGGTGAATGAAGCAGGATACAGAGACCAAAACAGACCCAGGCATAAATGGACACTTGATGCATTACAGAGGCAGCGCTATGGAGCTCTGGAGAAAGGGTGGCCATTTCAATAAGTGGTGGTGGCTGTTTATGTGGAGACAAAAATAAAACTTAACCCCTGCCTCATGTCGTACACAAAACTAAATTCCAGATGAACTGTAGAAGTAAATATATGAAAGGCAAAGCAGTAAAGCTTTTAGAAAATAAATATACTCTTCAGGCCCGGTGCAGTGGCTTATGTCTGTAATCCCAGCACTTTGGGAGGTCGAGGCAAGTGGATCACTTGAAGCTAGGAGTTCAAGACCAGCCTGGCCAACATGGCGAAACCCCGTCTGTACTAGAAATACCAAAAAAAAATAGCTGGGCGTGATGGCGTGCACCTGTAGTTCCAGCACTTTGGGAGGCTGAGGCAGGCAGATTGCTTGTGAGCTCAGGAGTTCGAGACCATCCTGGGCAACATGGAGAAACCCCATCTCCACAAAAAAAAATACAAAAATTAGCTAGGCATGGTGGCCTGTGCCTGTAGTCCCAGCTACTTGGGAGGTTAAAGCGGGAGAATTGCTTGAACCTGGGAGGCAGAAGTTGCAGTGAGCTGAAATCGCACCATTGCACTCCTGCCTGGGCGACACAGCGAGCGAGAACCTGTCTCAAAAAAAAGAAAAAGAAAATAATATAAACAATAACTTTATCACCTCTGGGTAGGGAAAGACTTTTCAAATAAGACACAAAAAGTACTTACAATTTTTAAAAATTGAATAAATTTGACTACATTAAAATTAGGAATTTCAGATCATTCAAAGACATCATTAAGAGGATGAAAGATCAGGCCACATAGAGGTAGAAGTTATTTGCAAAACACATAAAACCCACTAATGGTTCATGTCCAGAATATATGAAGAATTACTACAGATTCTTAAGAAAAAGAGGGAGAATCCAGTACAAAACATGCAAGAGTATTGCACAGGCTATTCACAAAAAAAAGATTATTTAAATGACCAATAAACATGAAAAGGTGCTCACCATCATTAGTCTGCAGGGAAGTGCAAATTAAAATCACAGTGAAGTAGCGTAACACATTCACTAGGATGGGTAAAATTAAAAAGACTGACCACACCAAGTGATGGTGAAGATGTGGAACAATCAGTACTCCCATACATTGCATTTAGCAATGAAAACTGGTACAACCACTTTGGAAAATGTGTTTGCTATTATCTAGTAAAGCTGACAATAATTTGTGTCCTATGACACAGTATTTACACTGCTAGGTGATAGGGTGACCAACCATACCAGTTTGCCTGACTGAGGGGTTTCCTGGGATGTGAGATTTTTCAGTGCTAAAACTAGGAAACTCCTAAGCAAGCCATTTTGAGTTAGTCACCCTACTTCTAGGAATGTACCCATAGATTTGCAAGCAAGTGTGTTCCAGGAAACATGTGCATGAATGGTGATAGTGACATGATTTTTAATAGCCCCAAACACAAAGCAACTAAATTTTCATCAGTAGTAGAACAGATAAATTGTACTATATTTATTCAGTGGGATACTATACAGCAATGAAAAATGAACAAACTGCAGCTACACACAGCAAAATGGATAAATCTCATGAACAATATTGAGCAAAAGAGGACAGCCATAGAGTTAATACTGCATGGTTCCCCTTATGTACAGTTTAGAATCAGGCAAAATGAAACTATGGTGTTGAGGACGCATGTTTAGGTGATAAAAGCATAAATAAATGCAATGAAGTGGCTACCATAAAGGTCAGGAGAGTGGTTGCCACTCTTCCCAGAGAATTGTGATTAGAAAGGGGCCCCTGGGAAGCTTCTAGTGAGATGGCAATGTTCTATTTCTTTTTTTTTTTCTTTTTTCTTTTCTTTTTTTTTTCTTTTTGAGACAGGGTCTCCCTCTGTCGCCCAGGCTGGAGTGCAGTGGCACAATCTCGACTCACTGTGACCTCTGCTTCCCAAGCAATCCTCCCACCTCAGCCTCCCAAGTAGCTGGGACTACAGGAACATGCCATCAGGCCTGGCTAATTTTTGTATTTTTTGTAGAGATGGGATTTTGCCATGTTGCCTGGCTGGTCTCAAACTCCGGGGCTCAAGCGATCCTCCTGCCTTGGCCTTCCAAAGTGCTGGGATTATAGGCATGAGCTACCGCACCCAGCCGATGTTCTATTTCTTGACCTGAGTAGATGATACCAGAGGTTTGCTTTATAATAACTCATTAAGGTATATTAAGGTATATATTTTATGCTCTTTTCAGAATGTATGTTACACTTCACAATAAGAAAAAGGTTTAATAACTAAAGATAAGCAACAATGAAGAGGATCTATAGTACTAATATGAAATAATCTCTAAAACATTTTAGTAAGTGAAAATACAAGGGGAATAATGTATAATAGCAATTCTCAAACTTTAGCTGCATCAGACTCATTTGGAGAACTCATTAAAACCCAGATTGTTTGCCTATAGTGCCAGCTACTCAAGAAGCTGAGATGGAAGGATTGCTTGAACCAAGGAGTTCAAGCCTAGCCTGGGCAATAGAACACAACCCCCATCTCAAAAAACAACCCAGATTGCTGGGCCCCACCACAGAGTTTCTTCTATTCCAGTAGGTCTGGGGTGGGCCCTGAGAATCTGTATTTTTAACAAGTTCCCAGGTGACTCTGCCACTGCTGATCTGGCATCGTCCTTTGAGAGCTAGTGTATCATACGATATTATGTGTTTATAAAACTGGTGTCTGCCTCTAGAAAATTATGCAGTTGTCTCTGAGGAAGCAGTCAAGGGCACTGTGGAATCTCCTGGGCAACTTGAGGGACGCAGGTACCTTCCAAAGTGAACAGAATTCTGAAACTCAGGGTGCAAATCCAGAAAACTAGTCATCCAGTTTTACTGTGGATTTAGGAACAGATGAAAAAGAAGGAAATGAAAGGTTATTGGGAAGAGAAGTAGTAAGAAAAGTGACTGACAGAGAAAGATTTTTTTAAAGGAAGGTAATTGGGTAAATGTTGGCATAAGAAGAGACTGAGACTGCCTAATTATGTGAGTGTTCAGCAGTGGCTGAAAAGTGATGGTAACTGGCAGATCTGGGGCCTTCCTCAGCTGGGGAGACAGGGACAGTGATCTAAAGTCTCCAGTGGCATTGTGAACATTTCCCTGCCCCACCGCCCCCCACACCCTGGCCTTTGCAAATATTCTGTAATCCAAAAGCAGAGAGAATGATGTTGGGATGAAGATACAGAAGAAGGAGGACAGCAGCTGCTCTCTGCCTGGGCTCTGTGAGCTGGTGGGGTACAGGAGAGGCCGGGAGAAGACTGAATACAGACCAATTGCAGAGCAAGAATCGATTTCTGAGGCTGAGGGATTCTGCAGGAAGCTGGGAAGAGTGGAAGAAGTAGGGGAAAATCAGGAAAGGGGGAGTCACATGGCTTGACTAATTCTGTAATATTTTCAACCTAGGCACCACATTCAAAAGCCCCCTGGAAGTCTTTGCAAAGATCAAGGACTGCTACGGACTGGGCTCCGGGCAGAATCATTTCATCAAGGACAGTCAGTGGGAGCAGCAAGCTGAGATCTTCAACGCTTCCTACAAGAAGTACCTAGATAGGGAGTGGGAGGAAGAGCCACTCAGGTGAGCCTCCTAATCCCGGGAAAGCCAGGGAGCATCCCCAGGCTTCTGCTGTCTTGGCACATGCAGGAATCAACCCAGGGACCTGAATTAATCTGAGATTTAAAAGCTCTTTCTGGGGCCGGGACAGTGGCCCACATCTGTAATCCCTACACTTTGGGAGGCCGAGGCAGGAGGATCATTTGAGCCCCCAAATCTGAGACCAGCCTGGGCCACATGTCGAGACCTTATCTCTAAAATAAATAAGCTCTTTCTGGTTTGGGAGAATTTTGAGCGAACATCAGCAGATATTTTGAAATGTTGTGTGGAGATTGTTACTATATAGTTAGAACAAAGGCTGATAATAATGGAGTTAAAAGAAGAAATAGATATCTATGGAAATGAGAAATATAATTTATTTCAGTTTTATACATGACAGCTCTAAAAATTTTTTTTTCTTTTTAAATTTTTTTTTCTAGTTATCTAAAAGCACAGAGGCTGGGCACGGTGGCTCAGGCCTGTAATCCCAGCACTTTGAGAGTCTGAGGCATGCAGATTACCTGAGGCCAGGAGTTTGAGACCAGCCTGGTCAACACGGTGAAACCGACTCTACTAAAAATACAACAATTAGCCGGGCATGGTGGCGGGCACCTGTAATTCCAGCTACTTAGGAGGCTGAGGCAGGAGAATCACTGGAACCCAGGAGATGGAGGCTGCAGTGAGGCGAGATCACGCCACTGCACTGTAGCTTGGACAGAGATAGACTCTGTCTCAAAAAATAATAATTAAAAAAAATAATAAAAAACACAGAAGATCCTAAAGACAAATAAAGTCACCACTACTAAAATTTTTCTCCATTTCCTTCCTGCCTTTCTAAATGTAATGTAGCATAGGTGTATAATTATTATAATATATGACTTTCCCATCTTGGTGAGCAGTTAGGTGTCATTAGCTCCAAGTTGTGTTGGAGAGCCCCAGTCTTTGAAGTATCAATGAGGGAGCTGGTTTTAGGAATTAGGTCTCCTCATAGCTACTGTGGATCTCAGGAATGTTCTTGTTCTCACATGGGAAGTGAAATCTCTCGTGCTGTCAAGTGGACCTTAAATTTTCTTACTTCAGGACACAAAGTCCTAAGGCTAATCCCTGACAACAGCTTCCTGTTACTGTCTGGAACTACGTCAAGATTCAGTGGTATGCTGGGGCTGGCTCCTACTGCATAGTGAGATAATTAGGGTTTTGCAAGCCAGTTGTTAAACCACTGTTAGTTGTCCATTGTGGGAGCATTGACACCATGAAAATCTGCAAACCCTATAAATTGGGGCCTCTTTTATTTAAGAGACCCAGTTATCAGCACAACACTGGCTGTATTGCCCCTGGGATAAGAGAACATCTATGTAGATCACCCGAGTCTGCTCTTTAAGGACATCTTCCCCAAAACAGAAGTGGCTCTCCAAAAGACAGCTGTCTCTGGCAAGAGCTCTGCACACCACACTGGCCTAGGAGTGATTCCCAGCCCCACCCAACCTGCCCTCACCAGCATCCAAGGTCAGCGCATCCCACCAGGACCAGCACCTAGAATGTGATGTGCTTCATGGCCTTCTTACCCCTGGGAAGGTCCATTCTAACTATCTATTCTGGTTTTAGGACCAAGACTCTGCCAGCAGCTCTCCTTGCCAGGGAGTCTACATGGCTCTGACTCGTGTGTCTTTCTTTCCCAGTACGGCCACCTTCTATTTCCTTCTTCCTAGCTGCCTATTTGCAATGCCACCGGAAGTCAAGGGCCCCTCAGGTAAATGAACATGAAGTGGGTGGTTGTCCTAGCAAGGAGTCACCTTGGGGAAACCCCTCAGCAAGCCCCCACAGAGATGTTCCCCAACAAACCTCGCATGGTAGGAGGGAATGAAGAGGGGAGTTTGGTTGCCAGCTGTAGCCTGTCAGTTTCTGCTTGCATCTGTGGCCCCTGAGCACAGGTTCTCTGATCACAAAGGCTGGCACTGCCTTCAGGGAGTGGTTGCCATAGGAGAAGGCATGAGCCCACATCCACCGGGCTGCTTCTGGATATGAGTTTGTCTTGTAGAAGATGTTACTTAAAACACTGAGGGTGTGAATTTTCTAGATGTGAAAGCAGCCGAGGGGGAGTTGAGACTGTCCTCCCTATGCAAGAAGGCGGGTGGGCCCCAGGAACAGCCCTCATGGGGCTGCCCAGTCCCTCTCTCTTGGGAAACTCACCCTTCTCTTGGGTGCTGCCCATTAAAACAAACCACTTCAGACTTCAAACCAGCTTCTCTTGGGCAAACACCTTCTGTGCAAACCAAAGGCCACCCAGATTTCCCCCTGTGTAACACCCATTTTCTGTCTTTCCCCCGCCCCCCCACCAGGAATGGCCTGTGTCCTTGGTATACACTGGACCAGAAGTCACAATTTCTTCCTGTATTCACTAAACCGAACTCTAAAGGATAAAGCTGGTACTTTACTGCTGAGATGGGAGTCGCCTAAGCTCAGGACTTGCAGACATGTCCTTCTCCAGCTTAGCTAAGAGCATGTGACTGACATACATCAAGTGTCACTTTAGGGACCAGATCTAGGCAGGCAGTAGGGGGTTTGGTGGGTGTAGTGTGACCGCAAGAATCTGTCTCTGAAATGTCATGTTCCTTAAAGACAACAGGTCAATAGGGACAAAGTCTACAGTCAGGTCCACAGGGCTCCTTAAGCAGCTAAGGTAAAAAGAGAGTAAGCTTGGCTGGGCGCAATGGCTCACGCCTATAATCCCAGCACTTTGGGAGGCCGAGGCGAGTGGATCACCTGAGGTCAGGAGTTCAAGACCAGCCTGGCCAACATGGTGAAACCCCATCTCTACTAAAAATACAAAAATTAGCCGGATATGGTGGCATGCGCCTGTAATCTCAGCTACTTGGGAGTCTGAGGCAGGAGAATCACATGAACCTGGGAGGCAGAGGTTGCAGTGAGCCAAGATCACACCACTGCACTCCAGCCTGGGTGACAGAGCAAGACTATCTCAAAAAAAAAAAAAAAAAAAAAGAGAGAGATTGAGAAAGTAGGCTTGGAATCAGAAGGTCAGTGCTAATCCTAGCCCAGCTGTCTGCAAACCATGTAGTCTCAGGCCAGTCGCTTCACACCCCAACCCACTTTTCATGCAGAACATAGAGCTAATTAATTACACCATTGTTGTCTAGTGCATGCGTTTGTTGAAAATAGCAAAATCCAGAGAGTTTCTGTATGTGAAGCTCTTCGAAATTGAAACGCACTAAGGAAATATAGGTTGTTGTTGTTTTACAAATTTATGGAGGTGACCAGGTGTGGTGGCTCATGCCTGTAATCCCAGTACTTTGGGAGGCAGAGGCAGGTGGATCTCTTGAGCCCAGGAGTTTGAAACCAGTCTGGGCAACATAGGAGACCCTGTTTCTACAAAAAATAGCCAAGCGTGGCAGCATGAGCCTGTAGTCCCAACTACTCAGGAGGCTGGGCCAGGAGGATCACTTGAGCCCAGGAGTTTGAGGCTGCAGTGAGCCAAGGTTGCACCACTGCACTCCAGCCTGGGTGACAGTGAGGCCCTGTCTCAAAAAAAAAAAAATTAATGGAAGCAGTCACATGAGCAAGTTTGCTTTGTGATAATTCCTTGAACTGTACACTTGTTATACTTTATATTACACTTCAAAAGTAACATTAAAAAATTCACAAAGGAGGAGTTTCTTTTCTTCCGTCCCTTTCCCAGGCAACCTGGCTTCTAATCTCCTTCTATACTGACTGTATGGCCTTGAGCAAGTCACTTCTCTGCCTCATCTATAAAATGGGGATACTAATAAGACTACTTTATAGAACCCTTGTGAGAATGCAATGAAATTATGTGTGTAAAGTGCCTAACACAGTATCTAGCACCTAGGACATACTCATTAAACATTAGCTGTAGAGTAATAATAAACAGTGTGACATTATCTTATCATCCTAGGCAAGGAGAATAGCACTTCATAAAGAGAAGGATGATGGTGAGTCCAGACAGGTGCTCCTGGTTCCCATTCCCTGAACAGGCAGACCAGTCTGAGTCACAGGTTGTCCAGGTAGAAGTGATGGGTAGGTGCAGAGTCTGGGGGAACCGGTTGAGTATTGTCCTTCCCCCTAGACCCCGAGGGTGTGTGGCCCTGTGCTGCGCCCATTGCAGTCTCTCAGCTCAGCTGCTCCTCCTCCTACCTGGTGCTGGCCTGCGAGGATGGTGTGCTCACGCTGTGGGACCTGGCCAAAGGTAAGTCCTCCCTGCCTCTCTACCTAGTACCTGGGTGGGACTCTGGGCAATGAGTCTGGGAGCTCTGGAATTCCCACAGGCCCTGGGCCTTCTGTTACCTCTGTGTTCTTAAAGTCACCTTGGGGAACTGGTCCTACTCCCCTCTCATTCATTTATTCAACAAACATTTATTGGATATAATATGTGCTAATGCTTCCCACTGCCCATGTGTTTATTGAGTGACTTCTCTGAGCCTGGCACTGTACTAGGCTCTGGAAGTATGATCATTGCCTTCATTATTACACTCCAGTGAAGAAGTATGTCTGGCACAGTACAAGTGATCATGGTGGCCTCAGCCTTCCTCTTCCCAGCCCCCAAGCTCTCTAAATAAGTGAGTCTTCTTCCCTGCTATTCTGTCTCATCCCCAGTCAGCGCAAACTCTATTGTATTAGAGCTAAGAGACCTATAAAGCAGTCAAAGTGAGACCAGCAGCTATTCTGGGTGGGTGGCACTGTGGTTGAGTTCTAGGGTCCTGGGTCCAGCTTTGCAGATACAGAAATCAATGATATTGCTTCCTAAATTCGTCAGCCTCTAGAGAAGCAGCTCCCTCTAACCGGACTTTGTTAAAGGCCAGTAATGACTCAGTGGTTTGCCATTTTGCAGTTGGAGATGTATTTACCTAGAGAGTGGAGGTGGGCCACCTTCACTGGGCAGCCCTCCTGGCAGGTGCAGAGCATCAGAGATAGTACCCTGTTTGTTGGGTAGCTTGTGATCAGACCAGGGAGTTGACTGTTCTCAGGGAGGTGTCTGTCAAGCTAGCAAATTGCCTTCCTCACTTGGCTATCACTTTCTGAAGAATGCAGTGGTTATTTCAACTTTGGAGGATATTTTCCCCACACACTGCTAAGATAAACACCACTAAAGACCCTCCTTTATTTTACTTATTGAACCAACAGCATTATTATAGAAGCAAAAGATATTTCAAGGAAAGAAGAATGATGATGATTTCATAAGCCCTTGACCAAAATAGCTTGTTTTCATTTTTTTCTGGATATTAAGTTCTTGTTGTTTGGCCACACACACACACACACACACACACACCGCCTTTTCTGAAACAGCTGTGCCTCCCCCTGCCCATACGCCTTTGCATCCCATGGTCAGCTGCGCCTCAGTCCCTGGCTGGGTTGTAGCTTCCTTCCACTCCAGTGCTGACCCTGCCCTCCTCCATGCTCTTGCTTCTCCCCCTCCCCAATTCCTCTCCAGACACAGCAGCATTCCCCTGCAGGGGGCTTTTCTCTCCCATTGGGCACTAGGTTTACTGATTTTCTCTCACAGGGTGCTCATTGCTTGATTTTGCCTTCACATCCTACAAGTCCCTCACACACTTGCTGGTCACAGCCCCTGTGCCCATGGCCTCCTCCCCTACCCCGTTTTCTGACCGGCTTGTGTGATTACTTTCTCTAGGATTCCCTCTTGGGGTCGCTGCTCTTCCTCAGGGATGTTTCTGCCAAAGCATTCACTTCCTAAAATATTTCTCGGTCCACAAAGGACAGAATATGTATCCTGAAGGTCAAGTGAAATCCCAAATGAAATGTGTGGTGCTGTGCACAGACGCCTCCCTCCATCTGGTGGAGGCTAGCGGGACCCAAGGACCCACCATCAGTGTGCTTGTTGAGAGGTCAGTAGCTTGAGGGTGGGACGGGGTAAATAATTGGCCAGATTATTTTAATTGCTATTTGATAGTAAAATCTGACAGCCTCTCTGACTACAGTCCACCTTTTGTATAGTCATCACTCTCCTGGTGAGCTTCTGAAGATCACCAATGTCACATATATGTTACAATTTTTTCTAACAAAATTGTATGATAGCACAGATGACATCTGCTATGGTTTGACTCTCCCCTCCAAAACCCATGTGAAAACTCAATCCCCATTGTGGCAGTACTGTGAGATGGGGCCTTTAGGAGATGATTGGATCATGAAGGCTCTTCCCACATGAATGGATTAACCCACTCATGCATTAATGGATTAATAGGTGAATGGATTAATGGGTATCATGGGAGTGGAAATAGTGGCTTTATAAGAAAAGGAAGAGATACCTGAGCTAGAACATGAGCACACTCAATTCCCTCACCATGTCACACCCTATGCCGTCTCGGGACTCTCTAGAGAGTCCCCACCAGCAAGAAGGCTCTCACTAGCTGTGGACCCTTGACCTTGGACTTCTCAGCCTCCAGAACTGTAAGAAATAAATTCCTTTGCTTTATACATTATCCAGTTTCAGGTATTCTGTTATAAGCAACAGAAAATGGATTAAGACAACATCCTTCCCATCCCATACGGCCAAGAAGAGGCTCATTTCTCCCACAGTAAACTTCCATCAGTTTCTCCAGGGATCTCTCTCTCTTTTAAACATTTAAAAATACCTAATGCATGCAAATGAACCTGTATAATGTGTGTGTGTGTGTGTGTGCGCGCGCGCATGTGTGTACGTGTGTGTGTGTAATAAAGAATAATGAGATCAACTCCCCTGAAACCGTTGGAAATCGATAATCTCCAGTTCCATTTGGGCTCCCTGCATGGCTCTCCCTCATCAATCCTTCTTGCTCCGCCCCAAACACCTTATTAATTACCTAATGCTAAATAACAAACCACCCCAAAACTTAATGGTTTAAGAAAATAGTCAGTGTTTAGTCCTTGAGTCTGTAGGTCAGCAATTTGGACTGGACTCAGTCCGTTTCTTCTACTGGTCTCACCTGGGCTCTCAAATGTGCCTTCAGGCAGCTCACAGCTCTTCTAAGATAGCTTCACTCACACACCTGGCAGTTGGCAGGTTATTGGCCAGTGCACCTCGGTTTTCCTCATGGTCTCTCCTGCAGACTAGTACAGCCTTTCTCACATGGTAGTCTAAGGGCTCCTAGCAGCAGGAGAGGGCAACCATAGCACACAAATGCTTTTCAAGCTTCTGCTCATGTTACATTTGCTAATGTCCCATTGGGCAAAGCACATCCCACATCCATGCCCACATTCAAGCAGTAGAAAAACAGACTCCATCTTTTGATGGGAGTCACTGCCAAATACAGCCAACTGCTTTTCAATCTACCACACCATTTTTCTAAATTCATCATTCCTTTGCTTTCCCTTAAGAATTAACCACATTTAGGCCAGGTACAGAGGGTCACACCTGTAATCCAAGCACTTTGGGAGGCCAAGGCGGGTGGACCACTTGAGCTCAGGAGTTCAAGACCAGCCTGGGTAACATAGTGAGACCCCTTCTCTGTGAAAAGAACAAAAATTATTAAAAAAAGAAAAAGAATTAACCACATTTGTATGACTGTATCTCTAAACAGTATATTATTTAGCTATGCATATTTAGGAAACTTACAAAGCAAACCATATTCTATATATTCTCCAACTTGTCTTCCTTCCTTCCTTCCCTCCGTCCCTCCTTCCTTCCTTCCTTCCTTCTTTCCTTCCGTGCATCCTTCTTTCCTTTCTTTCTTTCTGTTTTGTTTGGTTTTGTTTGAGACACGGTCTCACTCTGTAGCCCAGGCTGGTCTTGAACTCCTGGGCTCAAAGTGCTGGGCCCCCAAAGTGCTGGGATTACAGGTGTGAGCCACTGCACCCAGCCTCCAACTTGTTTTTCAATGGTATTTATTCTGCATCTTGCTTTGCAACATTGTTCACAAGAGCCATACATGTTGATGCATGTAGCTCCAGTTCTTTTATTTTCATTACCATATTATATTTCATTGTATAAGATACCACAATGACTTAAGCATCCTCCTAATAGATATTTGGATTGTTCTTAATTTTTTGCTACTATGAACAGCCTCCTCACATATTTCTTGATTTCTCTGAATTTCTCCAGGATATATGCCTAGAAGAGGATATCAAAACTTTTAAACTCTTAAAGTAGGAGAATGTCTGTATATTTTCTGTCCTATAGGCCTGTAAAGCACCTGGATAAAACCATCTGTGCCGTGGCCCCAGTCCCAGCCTTACCTGGCATGGTAGGTTCCCCATGCCTCTCTGTAAATGCCCCATGCCTCTCATTTCTCTTCTGTGAATGTGTTCATCTGTCCTTTAGAAAATGCTTATTGAAGGCCTGTTATGTGTTAGGCACTGGACTAGCTTTCGGGTTTACAAATAGAAAGAGAAAGAACCTGCCTTCATGGAGCACACAGCTCATTTGGGAAGACAGAGAAGTCACCAGGCAGCTGCCTTAGAACATGAGAAAGGCTGTGATAGGGATTTTTTAATGGATGCATGGAACAGAGAGAGGGTCACCTAACTCAACCTGCAGAAGTTGGCAGCAGGGGAGGACTGTGTTTTCTGGAGGAGGTGACAGCTGAGCTGAGCCAGAGGAGTTGAGAAGGCAACACCATGGAGGCAAGAGAGCACCACGTGTCCCGGGCACTGCAGGAAGTCCCAGTATCTGCCACATGAGATTGCTGTGGAATGTGGAGAGGGAGGAGGCTGGGGCGGGAAGACAGGTGGGCCAGACCATGGAAGGTCCTGTACACTGCGCAGAAGGATACAGATGTGTCCCTGTGTGGGATGGGGCTCAAACAGAGAGGTCAGAGAATGGGAACAGCATATTTAGAGCAGGGATGGAGAGTTGAGAGATCTCAGTTCGGCGATGGACTCCACATTCTTCACTACCTGTGGCTGTTGCCAAAGGAGAGGGAAGCGTGCGCGGTTGATCCTCGCTTGCAGAGGTGATTCCCCAGTCCTTACAGGGCCCACTTCAGGCCTGGAGAGAAAGTCTGTGATTCCTGGTGTGGCCCTACGGAGGGTGAGGGGCCTACAGGACCCCCAGGGGAGGCTCCAAGAGAGCCAAGGGCTGAAAATGTAGATTCCATGCTCACCAGCCAGGTACAGTTAGTGAGAGGTGGTTGAAGTGGGGCGTACAGCAGGTTCCCCTTGTTAAAGAGAGGGAGTGAATAGAGAAGAGGTTCCCATGGGCACTACCATCACTTACAGGACCTGGAAAATCAGTTCACAAAGTGACCGTGAGGGGCCCCAGGGAAAACTGCATGGGGACAGTCCTGCAAGCAGAGAGGAGAGTCTAAAGAAAGTGAGAGCAGTGTCCTGTGCTGCAGAAAAACCAAGAACATGGTGGAGACGAGTGGCTGAAGCTGGGAGACAGACGCAGGAGGTGGGGGAGTGGACAGGGTGTGGAGAGACCCTCTTGTGTGGGGAGGGGAAAGTGGTGTGGCAGCTGGAGGAGGCTGTTGGGTCAAAGGGGGCTTTTTTTTTTTTTTTTGAAACGGAGTCTCGCTCTGCCGCCCAGGCTGGAGTGCAGTGGTGCAATCTTGGCTCACTGCAAGCTCTGCCTCCCGGGTTCACACCATTCTCCTGCCTCAGCCTCCCGAGTAGCTGGGACTACAGGTGCCCGCTAGCACGCCAGGCTAATTTTTTGTATTTTTAGTAGAGACGAGGTTTCACCGTGTTAGCCAGGATGGTCTCGATCTCCTGACCTCGTGATCCGCCCACCTTGGCCTCCCAAAGTGCTGGGATTACAGGCATGAGCCATCGCGCCCGGCCAAAGGGGACTTTCTAAGGATGGGGAGAGTTTAGTATGTTCACTGCAGAGGAAAGAGCCCAGGCAAGAGAGCATCCCCAGCTCAGATCTCAGGCCAGGAGGGGCTGTTAGATTGAGCAAGGTCCCTGAGGCAGTGGGAAGGAAAGGCATTGGGAGCACAGGTGAGAAATGGAATCTTGGCTACATGGAGGGTGAGCTCTTCAGCAGAGAAGCAGAGAACTTGGAAGAGAGGCTGGGAAAAAGGGGAGGAATGCATAGCCCTGGAGCAGACAGCATGTGGAGGAGGGTCTGTTGGCTGAGGGGGACCCCAAGCACACATGTGTGTGCAGGTCTCCAGCAGCCCTGGATGGATCCAGAGGCTGGGGCCCAAGAGGTTTTATGTCCAGCTGCTTCTCTCATTCCTTACTGGGGTGACCTCTACACGACCTTCCTGTGAGGGACAGAGTCCAGTAGAAGCCCCCCTCACCATCTCTTTGCTTCCCAGGTGCTCATCTTTTCCAAGAATGGCTCTGTGTGCCTTATGGATGTGGCCAAGCGTGAAATCATCTGTGCCTTTGCCCCTCCGGGAGCCTTTCCTCTGGAGGTCCCCTGGAAGCCAGTGTTTGCTGTGTCTCCAGACCATCCATGTTTCCTGCTCCGAGGTACAGAAAGGGACCAGGGCTGATGCCCACTGACCATTTCCCTGACTTAGTTCTCTCACAAACAGAGAGAGCCCCTCCGATCTCCTCCCCACTCTGTGTCCCCCTCTACCATAGGCCAAAGGGTACCGCAGCTCAGTCCTCACAGGGCACTTAGATAAAATGCCAGCAGGGTCTTCTCTCTGAAGTCACAGCTCAACCCAGATGACCCAGCCTTTATAAGCAGAGAGCAGCCCCCACCTGCTCACCTGGACCACAGAGCCCACTGAGAAAGCGATTGTTACACAGAACATGGTGTTCTTGTCTCGTCACAGGAGACTATTCACATGAAACTGCGTCCACCGACGATGCTGGAATCCAATATTCTGTTTTCTATTTTAATTTTGAGGCCTGCCCACTCCTGGAAAATATCTCAAAAAATTGTACCATTCCTCAAAGGGACTTGGATAACATGGCCTTCCCCCAAGCACTGCCACTGGAGAAGAGATGTGAGCGTTTCCTCCAGAAGAGGTAAAGAGCTCTGTGTCTTCACCCCCTCCCACATCTGAGGTTGTCTCTGGATTGAGGGATAGTGGAGTTTCTTTCATGGTAAATCCTTTCAGCATTGAAATTTCCCCTGGCTGGGCGTGGTGGCTCACGCCTGTAATCCCAGCACTTTGGGAGTCCGAGGCAGGCGGATCACCTGAGGTGAGGAGTTCAAGACCAGCCTGGTCAACATGGTGAAACCCCGTCTCTATTAAAAATACAGAAATTAGCTGGGTGTGGTGGTACATGCCTGTAATCCCAGCTACTCGGGAGGCTGAGGCAGGAGAATTGCTTAAACCTGGGAGGCAGAGGTTGCAGTGAGCCAAGATCGCACCACTGCACTCCAGCCTAGGTGACAGAGCAAGACTCTGTCCCAAAAAAAAAAAAAAAAAAAGAAATTTCCCCTAAGTGAAGGGTTCTACCCCATGATAGCCCATGAGCTGCACTCCACCTCACATGTGGATTGGTAGAAAAAGAGTCATTAATTCAGGCTGGGAGAAAAGAAGGGCTTCCAGTTGGTGTTTTCTTCCTGTCAAGATCATCTTTTTAACTTTCTCAATTCCCTCTTAAAAGTATGTTTAGGCCAGGCCCGGTGGCTCATGCCTGTAATCCCAGCACTTTGGGAGGCCGAGGTGGGCAGATTGCTTGAGCTCAGGAGTTTGAGACCAGCCTGGCCAACATGGCGAAACCCCATCTCTACAAAAAACACAAAATTAGCTGGGTGTGGTAGCACATGCCTTTTGTCCCAGCTACTCTGGAGGCTGAGGTGGGGGAGAATTGCTTGAACCTGGGAGGCAGAGGATGCAGTGAGCCAAGATCGTGCCATTGCACTCCAGCCTGGGTGACAGAGTCAGACCCTGCCTCAAAAAAAAAAAAAAAAAGTATGTTTGGATTATTAGACACAATCCTTAAGATGGGGTTGGCAAACTATGACCTGTGGGCCATATCCAGTCCACTGCCTGGTTTTGTAAATAAGGTTTTATTTGAACACAGCCGTGCCCATTTGTTTATGTATTATCTATGGCTACTGTATGCTATGGCAGGATTGAAGGCTGCGAAGGAGACAGCATGACCTATAAAGTCTAAATTATTTACATTCTGGGCCTTTACAGAAAATGTTTGCCAACCCATGATCTAAGACCCCTTTCTTTTACCCATCATTCAGATAAACCGTTATGTGTGTGTTTCTCCTCTTCCCCTTCCTCTTTCCACTCTCCCTAATCCTGCAAGCACTGTTTTCTTGCCCTCCTTTCTGCTATCAAAGCATAAGGAACAGTACTCAGGCCATTCTGGAGAAATAGGTGTCTCTTCTAATCCATCTCACAATAAATTTCTGGGGATTTGCAAATCCTTGTTGATGATTCCTTTTGGGATCTGACCACACATTTCGGGTGGACTGGGGTCATCAGTGGAGTCCTGGATCCTCGTCCCGGGCCTGCCACTACAGAACTAGGTGGCTCTGGCAGGTTCCTTTCCTTCCAGTGCCTAGATGTTCCTATGTATGTAACGTGACCTCTGAGATTCTGTGATCTCTCCAATCACCATAATGTCTCTTCACGACTGTCTCCCCCTTTCTCTGTGTAGACTCTTTACTCAGGGAAGAGTCACTTCACGACTATTTCCCCCTTTCTCTGTGTAGACTGTTTACTCAGGGAAGATTGAAGTAGACTGGTTAAGATATGCAGGTCTGGAGCCAAACAGACCTGAGTTTGATTCTGACACTACCACTTACAATGAGACCTTGGGCGAGTTACTCAGCCTCCTCATTCAGTCAAAAAACACATATTGTGCACCTGTGAGATGCCAGGCTGTGTTCTGACCATTTTAATGATGCCTGATTTTTTTTGGCTTAAGGTATTAAGTGGGATGATACATGGAAAGTACCAGGCACAGAGTGGTTGCTCAGTAAATGGTAGTTATGACCATGATGATGGCTCCCTGCTAATCCAAGTTCATGCCTGGGAAAATTCTAAACATTACCACTAGGTGGCACCATAGCTCCTCTCCGCTTCCTAGCTCATACCTGCACTTAACAGGGGCGTTCAAGTCCTTCCTGCATTGTAGTGGGTCGCTGGGAGGCTCTCGGTACCTCCCGGAGGGAAATGTGCCTATTCGTCAGGAGACGAATATGGTCTCATGAGTCTCTGGGGAGAGAGAGGCAATGAAGAAGGCGATGGTTGACATTGGCCCTCTCTAAAGGTCTACCAAGAATGTTCAACTATTCTTCACAGGGAGGGTTTTTGTTTTTTGTTTTTGTTTTTGTTTTTGAAACAGAGTTTCACTCTTATCACCCAGGCTGAAGTGCACTGGCGCGATCTCGGCTCACTGCAACCTCTGCCTCCCGGGTTCAAGCGATTCTCCTGCCTCAGCCTCCCCAGTAGCTGGGATTACAGGCATGCGCCACCACGCCCGGCTAATTTTTGTATTTTTAGTAGAGATGGGGTTTCTCCATGTTGGCCAGGCTGGTCTCGAACTACTGACCTCAGATTATCTGCCTGCCTCGGCCTGCCAAAGTGGTGGGATTACAGACATGAGCCACCACGCCTGGCCTGATTTTATTTAAAAGCTGCAAATGTATAGATTACTTTTTTAAAAAGTGTTAAATTGGCCGGGCGCGGTGGCTCACACCTGTAATCCCAGCACTTTGGGAGGCCAAGGCGGGTGGATCACCTAAGGCCAGGCGTTCGAGACCAGGCTGGCCAAAATGGTGAAACCCCGTCTCTACTAAAAGTACAAAAATTAACCGGGCACGGTGGCAGGTGCCTATAATCCCAGCTACTCAGGAGGCTGAGGTAGGAGAATTGCTTGAACTCAGGAGGTGGAGGTTACAGTAAGCTGAGATCATGCCATTGCACTCCAGCCTGGGCGACAGAGCAAGAATCTGTCTCAAAAAAAATAAATAAATAAGTGTTAAATATTCTTTATTTGCTATTACACATAAATCACACCAGAATCTCTTTCAATAAGTAAAAGGGATTTTATTTTATTTTTATTTTGTCTATTTTTTGAGACAGGGTCATCCAGGCTGGAGTGCAGTGGTGCAATCACAGCTCACTGCAGCCTTGACTTCCCGGGCTCAGGCAATCCTGCCTCAGCCTTCCGAGCAACTGGGGCCACAGGCATGCGCCACCACACCCAGCTAATTTTTTTATTATCTGTGGAAGCAGGGTCTCCCTATGTTGCCCAGGCTGGTCTTGAACTCTTAGGCTCAAGTGACCCTCCCACCTGGGCCTTACAAATTTCTGGGACTATCAGTGTGAGCCACCATTCTCAGCCTAAAAGAAACCATTACAGATACAGGGAATTCTACTTAGATTGGCAGAGTTAAGGTCAAAAATATAAAGTACACATTGCTACTTTACCTTCAGCCCTTTCCTTTAAGAGGCAAATCAACACAAAATATGGTGCATCTTGCTTGGTTCTGAGACAGTGAAGGAATTTCTCCAGTGTTTAAATATATTCATATAACCGGTTATATAAATCTAAATATAAAACCTATCTCCAATACTTTTTTTTTTTGAGATGGAGTCTCGCTCTGTCGCCAGGCTGGAGTGCAGTGGCACAATCTCAGCTCACTGCAACCTCTGCCTCCCAGGTTCAAGTGATTCTCCTGCCTCAGCCTCCCAAGTAGCTGGGACTACAGGCACATGCCACCATGCCCAGCTAATTTTTGTATTTTTTAGTAGAGACGGGGTTTCACCATGTTGGCCAGGATGGTATCGATCTCTTGACCTTGTGATCCACCCGCCTTGGCCTCCCAAAGTGCTGGGATTACAGGCATGAGCCATCACACCCGGCCTCCAATACATTTTTAAGATAGCATTCACCATTTTTGTGAAAAGTTGGACATTACCAGCCAGGTGCTGTGGCTCACGCCTGTAATCCCAGCAGTTTGGGAGACAGAGATGGAGGATCACTTGACGCCAGGAGTTCAAGATTAGCCTGAGCAACATAGTGAGACCCCATCTCTACATCTACATCTATAAATAAAAAATTAATTAATTAAATTAATTAAAATCTTATCTCCACATAGATGGAGAGCCTCAAAACAAATCAAAGCTATGGTCATTGTCTTTCTCCCCCAGAGTACTCCTCTTCCTGTTTGCCTAAGCATTTTAACATCATTCACTTGCACCTCCTTCCCTACCACAACCCCACTGACAGCCCCCCCTCCACCCTGCTAAGCGTGCCCGTCTCTGTGTGCACTCTGAGGGGTGAATCTTGGGCTTCTCTGATTTTTCTGTAGTGAACATGCACTTATTATTTTTTTTTAAACAACTCTTACTTTTTTTTTCTTTTGAGATGGAATTTTGCTCTTGTTGCCCAGGCTGGAGTGCAATGGTGCTATCTTGGCTCACTGCAACCTCCATCTCCCAGATTCAAGCGATTCTCCTGCCTCAGCCTCCTGAGTAGCTGGCATTACAGGCACGTGCCACCACGCCTGGCAAGTTTTGTATTTTTAGTAGAGACGGGGTTTCTCCAGGTTGGCCAGGCTAGTCTCAAACTCCCAACCTCAGGTGATCCGCCTGCCTTGGCCTCCCAAAGTGCTGGGATTACAGGCGTGAGCCACCGCGCCTGGCCAACAACTCTTACTTTTTAAAAGACCCAACTCAAACTGTCTTTATAAAAGTTGGAATCATACAGTGTGTCTTTTTGTGACTGGCATATTTCAGTCAGCGTAATGTCCTCAATAGTCATCCATGGTGGAGCATGTGTCAGAACATCTTCCTTTTCAGTCTGAATGTTCCGTTGTGTGTAATACCACAGCTTGTTTGCAAATAGCCTTTTAGTTCCTCAGCTCGCCATCCTGTCTACCCACATGCACCTCACAGGTAAGAATGCTAGACCCATCATTCCTCCAGGAAAGGCCTTCTGAGCACCTGCTGTGTACCAGGCTGAGCCCTGAGGACACAGAGGCGATGCAGGTGTGTCCTCTTAGAGTTTCTCATAGGAGCACAGGGTAGTCGAGGTCTGCCCTGGGGGCTCGGGAGCTGGGGAAGTGAGAGGAGATTCCTCTCATCACAGTTGTGTGGCCCTCAGCTATCGGAAGCTGGAGAAGAACCCAGAGAAGGAGGAGGAGCACTGGGCCCGGCTTCAGAGGTACTCCTTGTCGCTCCAGAGAGAGAACTTCAAGAAGTGAGGCTGCCACCGCCCTGGGATCTCTGAAAAGGAGGTTTCAGCCACGAGGCAGCTGCTCCCAGGACACTGAGGCCAAGAGAAATGTAACAGAGCCACAGCTCCACAGGCCTGCACTCGGAGTCTGGGGCCTCTGCAGAGCCAGCAAGGGGAAAAGTATAATCTGGGGGACCTTCAACCACTAAGCCTCTTGTCAGAGCCCTCAGGCAGGCAGATGTGTCACCCAAATAAACAGTGATATTGTCTCCAGACTCCCAAGTTGCTGTGGTATATAACTCATCGTTCCCACGCAGTCCAGACCCCAGCAGGGCCCAGATGATGGTTTCAACCAGAGTCCTCGGCCTGGTGAGGACCACTCACCTCCTAGGCCCTGGAGAGCCACTGTCCTCAGATGAGCAAGACACCCCGCCCACCTGTTTTCCCCACCCATTTCTCCCTCCCACGGCTGGCTCACACCTTTATAGAATAGCTTTGAGGAGGTGAGGCTCAGGATGGTGGCGTAAGGGCCTGAGGCCACACAGGTACGAGAGGCAGAGTGGGAGGGAGAGGTGGCAGGCAGGAGCTGGGCCACTGCTGCCCCTGGCCTGCTGGCTCAGGAACGCTAGAGGTGGCTGGGCAGAGAGATGCCTTGTTCTTCTCTAGAAACTGTCCTCCCCCAAAAAACAGACGGAGGGGTCCCCAGCAGCCCAAGGGATCCGTGAGGACCCTGTGTGGAACCTTGGAGGCTGAGGGGGCTCAAGTGTCCCAGCCTGGTCCTAGGCCTGCTCAGTCTCTTGGGTGAGAAACTACCTGGGAGGGTGACTGCACTCAGAGTTTGTGATGGCTGCTGTTTTGCAGCCCCATCCACCTCCTCCCTGGGTCACATACCACATTCCTTGTTGGCCAGACAACTTCCATGTGGCACTGATGCTGGCTAGCTGACTGTCCCCCGGGATGAAGGTATCCCCGCCTGAGACACTCTGGCCCTCTCCACACCCCACCATGGGAATGAAATATAGCCGCCAACATACCTGTTGGCAGTAATTCCCTCTACACAGCAGGTGCTCTGGCAGCTCTCTGGAGACGAGGAAGGAGAACTTAGGAAGATGGTCTTGGCTTACACACCACCTAAGGTGTTGGGGAACCAACATTTCTGTGGTTGGTGTATTTTACATTTAAGCTTTAAGCAACCTTGTGAAACATAGATGTTATTGTTATCCCCATTTTACAGAGCAGGGAACTGAGACTCAGGTGAGACAGCGTAGAACAGCCTGTGTCCAGTCCCCGTGGGCTTCTCCATAGCAAATGCTAGAAACCGAACACAAACTACCTTTAGCAAAAAGGGGGATGTGTTGGCTCAGATAACTTAGCCATCCAGGAGTCACACTCTTGGTGTGGCTGGATCCAACCCCAGGTGTTGAGATCACACCTGGAGTCTCCCTCCGCCTCTCAGTTCTAATTCCCCCTTCAGGCAGGCCTTCCACTTGGGTGACACCAGAAGCACCCGGTGGACCACCCCTTCCCAATAGTGCCGGCAAAGCCCTGAGCCTGCTCCTCACTGGCCTGCATGTAGTCTCTTTCCTGAACCACTCACTGTAATGATGGTCAGGGCTGCGGCAGGTGTCCATCCCTGGAGGGAGGGAGAGGTATTCCCACCCCCAAACCAAGGACTGACAAGGGGAAGAGCTCTCTGGGGAAAGGAAATGACAGGGCCATGAGGGAGGAAGGCAGGAGGGATACTGAGCAGGCAGACAACAGAGGCACCCGGCCCAGCAGAGGCAGCAGGGAGCCCAGCCCACCCTCTGCCAAGACATGTGCTGCCCACACCTGGCCACCTTCTCCTTTCCCAGCGTGTGAGGGGAGAGCGGGTGGGGAGAGGGGATCTGAGGCATTCACAAGGCGTCTTATGTGCCAGGTCCCACCAGCGGGACGAGGGAGAAGGAACCAGGGCCGGTCAGCACGAGGCTAGTGCTCCCCAGCTGGTAGGCTGCGCTGCCAGGGCTCCAGCCACTTCCGCCTGTGCAGCCCCAGGCAGAGCTGGCCATGCCTGTGGGCCCAAAAGAGGTCCTTGCCCTCTGGGTGACAGACCCCATGGAAACATCAAGAACCTGTGTTGGCCGGGCGCGGTGGCTCAAGCCTGTAATCCCAGCACTTTGGAAGGCTGAGGCGGGCGGATCATGAGGTCAGGAGATCGAGACCATCCTGGCTAACAAGGTGAAACCCCGTCTCTACTAAAAATACAAAAAATTAGCGAGGCGTAGTGATGGGCACCTGTAGTCCCAGCTACTCGGGAAAGCTGAGACAGGAAAATGGCATGAACCCAGAAGACGGAGCTTGCAGTGAGCCAAGAACACGCCACTGCCCTCCAGCCTGGGCGAAAGAGCGAGACTCTGTGTCAAAAAAAAAAAGAACCTTATGTCTTCTCAGGGTATGGTTGGAACTAGAGCAAGGCATACCAATGCCCAGGTGCAGCATCCACACCTCCTTTCCTCCCCACAGGATCCACACACCAACACCTCCACACATCCACACCTCCAAAGAGCATCCACACCTCCACTCCTCCCAACAGGATCCACACACCAACACCTCCACACATCCACACCTCCACACATCCACACCTCCACGCATACACACCTCCACACATACACACCTCCACACAGCATCCACACTTTCACACAGCATCCACACCTGACACCTCCACACCTCCACACATACACACCTCCACACAGCATCCACAGCTCCACACAGCATCCACACCTCCACACAGCATCCACACAGCATCCACACAGCATCCACATAGCATCCACACCTCCACACAGCATCCATACCTACTCACCTCCACACAGCATCCTCACTTACTCACATCCACACATCATCCACATAGCATCCACACCTCCACACGTCCATGCAGCATCCACACCTCCACACATTCACACATCCACACAGTATCCACACAGCATCCACACCTCCACACATCCACACATCCACACATCCACACAGCATCCACACCTCCACACATCCACACATCCACACAGCATCCACACCTCCACACATCCACACCGCATCCACACCTCCACACAGCATCCACACCTCCACACACACACACAGCCCTGCCTCTACACACACAGCCCCGCCTCCACACACACACACAGCCCAACCTCCACACACGCACACACAGCCCAACCTCCACACATACACACAGCCCTGCCTCCGCAAACACACGCAGCCCCGCCTCCACACACACACAGCTCCGCCTCCACACACAGAGACACACACACAGAGCCCTACCTCCCCACACAAACACACACAGCCGCACCTCCACACACACACACAGCCCCGCCTCCACACACACACAGCCCTACCTCCCCACACATATACACACAGCCCTACCTCCCCACACATATACACACAGCCCTACCTCCCCACACACACACACACACAGCCCCACCTCCACAAACACACAGCCCCGCCTCCACACACACAGCCCTGCCGCCACACACACACACACACAGAGCCCTGCTGCCCCAGCCACACACACAGCCCCGCCTCCACACACAGCCCCACCTCCACACACACACACACACACAGCCCCGCTGCCACACACACGTGCACACAGAGCCCCGCCGCCACACACACACATATGCTCACGCACACACACAGCCCCACCACACACACATGCGCATGCACACACACACACACAGCCCCGCCGCCACACACACAGCCCCACTGCCACATACACACACACACACACACACACACACACACACACACACACACACACCCCTACCTTGCTGCCAGGGCTCTTGCAAAGACAGGCTTCACCAACCACCAGCCCACAGTTGGCCCGTCCCCAGGGGCTGCACACTAGCCTTATGGAAAGTTCCTCGAGTTCCCTGTGCGTCAGCTTCTGCCTGTAAAACAGAGAGAGTGCAAACCTACCCACCTTGCCAGCGGCCCTGAGCCCAAATTTTAAGCCCCAAGCACACAGCCCGGCCAAGGGTCGCTGCTCTGGAAATGCTGGTTTCCCTGCGCTGGCCTTCTCACTAGGTGGCCCTGTGAAAGCAGAGCCCCAGAAGAGGAGGGCGGCTGGGGACTAGTGGGGACCAGCGGGCAGCTAGTTGGCCTCAGCGGGCACCCCTGTGCCGGTGCAGTCCTTCTCACTACTCCCTCCACGGCACGTGGGGCCTGGCCCAGACCACTCCACAGTGGGGCACCCTGACTGGGCCTCAGGGGAGGTGAGGCGCCCCCCAGTACCCTCTGTTCTTGAGACAAGCTGGTGTTCAGCCGAAGCGAAGGCAGCACACCTGGTGATTACGCACACAGGTCTGGAGTCACAGCCGGGTCCAGATCCCAACACTGCCACCCACCATCTGCAGCCTTTTTCTTAACGCTCCTGTTCTTAAAGTGGCCCTGCAGCTGGGGTTACCTTGCAGCGGGGCTGAGAACTGAGGTGAGGGAGGCTCCACTACCACCCGGCACGGGGCGCCTACCTGGACGCTGGCTACTGTTGTCGGCTCTGTGAACAGGCACACAGGGTTTCCTCCGGGTGTGGGATGGGGCTGCCCGGGATGGGGGTTGGGGATGCTGGAGCAGTGGGAGATGTCCCCTGCCTATCTCCAGTCCTGAGTCTGGGCAGCTATTAGCAGAACCTTGTTAATGAAAATTCACACCTAGGTGCTAATAAACACTGGGCCACTCCCAGGCTCAGAGGCGGAGGAGAAGCCCTCTGCAGGGAAGGGGGCTAGCCAATGAGCCCCACTTATCTGTGAAAAGACTTGCTAATAACTTTAATTCCCCATTCTAAAACGCAGGGCCTTTGCCATGCAAATAGATCTTCTAAGCTGTGTCGGCTCCAGAAAACTTCCCACTCTACCCCAGTTAGGGTCCTGGGAGGGGAGTGAGAGATGGGACAGAGGAGCAGGAAAGGGGGTGACCCGCGGAGGTGTGAGGTCCCACCCCGCTGCAGGCCTGACTTTTGGAGCCCACTCTGTGGCCAAGCGCCAGGCCGGGTGTGCCCTGCCTGGCCTGGACCCCTGAACTGCAGATCAGGGACTCGATCCCACTCTGCATTACCGCCCCTCCTGGCCCGGGCCGGAGTACTGGAAGTGATCTCTGAAGCAGTTGAAAAACAAACCGAGCGGCATCAGCGGATGAACCACGGATAAACCAACTGTCATGTAGCTGAACAATGGAAGATTATTGGGCAATAAAAAGAAACGAAGTTCTGACACAGGAGGCAGCATGATGAGCCTTAAAAACATTGTGCTCAGTGAAAGAAGCCAGACACAAAAGGCCGTATTTTGCGATTCCTTTTATATGAAATGTCCTGAAAAAGCAAACCTATAGAGACAGAGACTAGAAGAGTGAGTGCCAGGGACTGGGAGTAGGGAATAGTGAGGAGTGATGTTAACAGGTATACGGTTTCTTTTGGGGGGTGAAAACGTTCTAAAATTAGTGGCAATGCTTGCACAACTCTGTGGATGTACTAAAGCCATTCAGTTGTTAAAAGAGTGAATTTTATGGTATGTGAATTGTATCCTAATAAAGCTCTTATAAAAACAGACACTGAAGCCTGTGTTTCAGACACTTGAAGGAGAGGAGGGGAGAACTGGGTATCTATCCATAGAGGGTAAAGGACGCTTGGCAGAGAGGCTACACATCCCTTCTCCCCACCGCACCCTCTAATCATGACTGTTGCCCAGACACCCTGGCTGGATGAGGACACACTTTCTGGGCTCAAGCCTCCCGTTTCTTGCTCCCTGATGTGAATCCAGCCAATGCAGACAGGCACGCAACTGCCTGTGTGGATTCCGATGCAACCCCATGGGCCCCTCATCTCACCCCATCTAGGCCTGTAGGAGGTCATGGTTATATAAACTCAGGACCGCCACACCATTATTTATGTCTCTAAGCCACAAGGTGGGGAAACCAGAGAAAAGGCAGATGGGAAAATGCCGGCGGAGGGTGGGGGAGTTCCAAGGCCAGGATGCTCCCGTGCATGGAGAATAAGACCACAGGATGCAAGAAAATAACCCCTTGGAGCTGTTATCCCTCAGGCCCCAACATGTATGGAGCTGGCAAAATCCCACAAGAGCTGAGCGCTGGGACTCTGGAGGCCTACCTGGGCTTGAGCGCTGATCCTCATCCTTCTGTAAAATGGTTACTTGAGTATAATAGGTACCTGATGTACATACAATAAATACTCAATAATGGAGTTGTATTTCTACACAGATATTTTGGTTTTAACCAGTTCCCCACCAGGTTCAAAGAAAAGATGAGCAGATTCTACTTGCCGCTGCCTTCTCACAGGACGTCCCTCCCCACCCATTCCAGGCTGACCCATCTGGACTAGATGCTGAGCCAGGGCTGGGGGTAAGGCCAAAGGGGTCTGGGCCTGTGGGGGTCGGGGGGCTAAAGATTGCAAGAACCCCTCCCACCTCTCCCATGCTCTTCTTTGGAGGGAGAGAGGGAGCTCTGTGTCCACGGGTAGGAAGAAGAAATTGCCAACTGACACCAGTACAGTTTATTCACAAATAAATAAATTCACATTAGGCAGAGCCTCCTGCTTGCCTCAAAGTGTCTAGCCCTATGGGTCCCTCCATGGAGGGAGGGGCTGAGAAGGGCCGCCGCGGTGGGGACGGCTCTCACCCGCAGGAATGCCCCCGTCGGGATCGCCCGTGCCCTCTTCCAGGAAAGGCAGTCTGCCAAGGAACCACTTCGAAGGTGCTGAGGCCAAAAAGCCTCGGTGCTCACAGAGACGGCGTCAGTTGTCCCTTGTCACTTGGGCTCCTCAGGCAGCCACTCCAGAGGCGAGAGGGGCATCCAGGTCTCCAACAGAGCCAGCACGTCGCCCGGAAGGAGCTGTAGGGAGAGACGGAACAGCGCAGCCCTCAAGCACTGGTGGCCTTGTGCGGGTGTCCGCGCTCGTGGGCTCCACTCTCAGGGGGCCCCTAGCGAGGGGAGACCCAGTCCTCTGCGTGGCCTTTCCCTGCCTTCGCTTCTTGGAGCCCTGGGCATACTATGGTGGCCAGGTGGCCAGGCTGCCGGCGGGGAGCAGCAGGGTGCCTGGTCCTCACCTTGGCGGGCGGTGGGGCTGTGCGCGGGGGCACGGACGAAGGGGGCGCGGGGAAGGGGACACTAACCGGGGACGGTGGGCTTGGCTCCATCGCCTGCCCTTCAGGGCACGCCGCCTCGGCGAACAGCGCAGGCGGGTCGCGCGGCTCGGGTGCAGCTCGGGCTCCGGGGCAGGCAGGCGGGGATCCCCAGGACGCCCCGGCGCGGACGGCGGATACCAGGCCCAGCCCGCGCCCCTGCCCCTGCCCCTCAGCCTGCGTCCGTGTCTGCATCTGCGCGGGGCAGTCGTCGGGGCACAGCGGGCAGCCCCGAGGGGACCCCGCGTCACCGCGCTGCCGGCACCGGCGCTGGAGACTCTCCTCGCTGAGGCCTAGCACGGCCGACAGGTGGCCGATATAGCGGATAGCCAGGCGCAGCGTCTCGATCTTGGTCAGGCTCTGGCCCGCGGGCGCCACGGACGGCGGTAGAAAGCGGCGCAGCTCGTGCAGGGCGCGGGCCAGCGTGCGCATGCGCAGTTTCTCCCGCTCACTGGCGCTCTGCCTCTGCCCGCTGCCCAGGCGGCTGCTGCGCGCGCCGCGCCTACCTACGGAGGGGGCGCGGGGGTCCCGGAGGGTGCCTGGCCGCGCGGGGCTCGCCACGGGGCTGTCGGCTGGGGTGCTGCCCCATGAGTCTGGGGACGAGACGAGGGAGCGGCCGCAGTCCTTGTCGGAGGGCGGCGGCCGCCGAGTTGGGCCCCAGGCCGCAGAGAGCATCCAGGACTCGGAGAGCGGCGGGCACAGGGGCTGGGCCATGGCAGCGGCGGCGCGTCTGGGGGCCGGCGGCCGGCGGCCGCTTTATGCCGAGCCCGAGGTGTGAAGTGGCCCCTTCCAGGCCGCATCAGCACATCAAAGTGGGCTCGGGGCTTGGAGGGGGCGGAGCCTGACCCTTTGAATCCACGGCGGGGGGCCAAGGTGCCAGCCCCTTGACTGCGCCTGTTTCGCCCCACCTGGGCCCTCGCTTGGGCGCCCGACCCAGCCTCTCGGCCTTCCCGCCTGCGCCCAGTGTTGGGTGAAGCCCGGGGCGTTGGGCCAGCCCTGCAGGTTAAAGGAAGCGGGGTCAGAAAAACGAAATCTAGATCCTAGGTTTGGGGCCTGCCTTCACCTGTTGGGGACCTTATGCAAATTCTTAGTTCTTTTGCACCTTAGCTTCCAATTTGTATAATGAGAGCCTCAGGGCATGCGCCAATTGGACAGTGGAGTAGAGTAAGGACCAGGAGCAGGGACCCTCATTCCCTCTAAAGGTGGAGAAAACAGTAAACCACTTCTCCTTTGAGGCAGGATGGCCCTGGGTAGACCCTTCCCTGGTAAGAACATGTGGACAGTGCAAGGAAGCTTGCACCCCGGCAAATTCAATAAGCTGCCGAGTCTGGTCAGGATGCTGGACCTTCTGAGCAGAGGGAGGGGGTTAAGCCTGCTCCAACCCCAGGCCACCTCTAGCCTGGCAAGGTCTGGAGCTTGGCCTGTTGCCACAGCTGTCACCACTGGCCTTTACCTGATGTTCTGCCGCTATTGGACAGGTATAACAGGTTTTCCCAATGAAATGTGAGTGGAAATGACGCAGCAAAGGCATTTGACAAAATCCAACACCCTTCGTGATGAAAATTCTCAGCAAACTAAGAATAGAGAGGAATTTCATCAACCTGATGAAAGGCTCCTACAAAGAACCTACAGGTAGCCTCATACTGAGTAGTGAAAGACTGAAATCTTCCCCCCACCCCCCGATTGCAGGAACAAAGCGAGGGTGTCTCTCTTACCACTCCTATTCAACATTGTACCAGATGGAGGATCTAGGCTATGCAATTAGGAAACAAAAGACATACAGGTCAGAAAGGAAGAAATAAAACTCTTTTCGCAGGTTATGGCAGCTCTGGGCCCTGCTGCGCATGAGCCTGACCAATTTAAAGCGGAATCCTGGCTCCAGGAAACCCATGAGACGACCAAAAGGTCGGAGAAGAGGTAGAAAATGCGGCAGAGGCCATAAAAGAGAAAGGCAGAGAGGAAACTGGCTCTGCTGGGCTTTGGGGATGGCCAGACTCTATTTTACATCGGAATCCCAAAATACAGATTTAATGAAGGACTTAGCTTCAGACACCAGTATCAACCTTTAAGTATCAATAGACTGTAATATGTTACTGATTTGGGTCGTGTTGATCCTACTCAACCTATTGACTTAACCCAGCTTGTCAATGGAAGAGGTGTGACCATTCAGCCACTTAAAGAGGATTATGGTGTTCAGCTGGTCGAAAAGGCCGCAGACACCTTTCAGGTGAAAGTTAATATTGGGCCGGGCGCGGTGGCTCACACCTGTAATCCCAGCACTTTGGCAGGCCAAGGGGGGTGGATCATGAGGTCAGGAGATTGAGACCACCCTGGCCACCGTGGTGAAACCCCGTCTTATTAAAAATGCAAAAATTAGCCAGGCATGGTGGCACGTGCCTGTAGTCCCAGCTACTTGGGAGGCTGAGGTAGGAGAATCACTTGAACCCGGGAGGTGGAGGTTGCAGTGAGCTGAGATCATGCCACTGCACTCCAGTCTGATGACAGAGTGAGACCCCCTGTCCAAAAAAAAAAAAAAAAAAAAAAAAGTTAATATTGAAGTACAGTTGGCTTCAGAACTAGCTATTGCTGCAATTGAAAAAAATGGTGGTGGTGTCACTACAGCCTTACAGGATCCAAGAAGTCTGGAAATTCTATCCAAACCTGTTCCATTCTTTTTGGAGACAACCCATTCCAAAAAGAATGCTTCCTTCTGAAGCACTGGTACCATATTCCACCAATGCAAAGAATCGTGGGAACCTGGCAGATCCTGCCAAATTTCCTGAAGCACAACTTGAGCTTGCCAGGAAGGACAGTTCTAATTTACTGGATATCACGAAAGAAGAACTCTTCAAATGTTCAGTACTCAGAAGGATCCAAGGCAGATTTTCTTTGAGTTTGCTCCAGGATGGGTGCTGAATATAGTAGATAAGAAAATCCTAACATCTACAGATGAAAATCTCCTCAAGTACTAGAGCTCATGAATTCCCATCCAAGAAAGCAGAGTTGTTAAAGAATATTAGAAAAGGGCCAGGCACAATGGCTAACACCTGTAATCTCAGCACTTTGGGAGGCCGAAGAGGGTGGATCGTGAGATCAGGAGTTTGAGACCAGCCTGGCCAACATGGCGAAACCCCGTCTCTACTAAAAATACAAAAATTAGCCAGGCATGGTGGCAGACGCCGGCAATCCCAGCTACTCGGGAGGCTGAGGCAGGATAATCGCTTGAACCCGGGAGGCGGAAGTTATGGTAAGCCAAGATCGCTCCATTGCACTGCAGCCTGGATGAAATTTCACCTGGCCCCTCAGGAGTTTGAGTTTGCACCCTGGTCTTAATAGGTACTTCGTGCATGGCTATCTGCTCTCCAGCCAGACTGTGAAGTACCTGGTGTCTGGGTGTCTGGCATCATATCTTTACCTGTTTTCAAGCGGAATGGTTTCTTTCAGTGCCAGATGTCTGATTTTTTTTTTTTTTTTTTTTTTTGAGACAGGGTCTGGCTCTGTCGCTCAGGCTGGAGTGCTGTGGCGCAATCTTGGGTCACTGCAACCTCCGCCTCCTGGCCACATTGAAAGACAAAGAATTTTCTTGAATCACATATAAAATACAGTAATGAGGCTGGGCACCATGGGATCAAGCCAGTAATCCTAGCACTTTGGGAGGGCGAGGCAGGGGGATCACTTGAGGTCAGGAGTTCGAAACCAGCCTGGCCAACATGATGAAACCCTGTCTCTACTAAAAATACAAACAATTAACCTGGTGTGGTGGCGCATGCCTGTAGTCCCAGCTCTCGGGAGGCTGAGGCAGGAGAATCGCTTGAACCTGGGAAGTAAAGGTTGCAGGGAGCTGAGATTGTGCCATTGCACTCCAGCCTGGTGACAGAGCAAGATTCTGTCTAAAAAAAGAAAAAAAAAATACACTAATGATAGCTACTGCACTAACAAAATTGCAAAAAAAAAAAAAAAAACTCATAATGTTTTAAGGAGTTTACGGAATGTTTAAGAAGTTTATTTGTGTTGGGCCACATTCAAAGCCATCCTGGGCCGTGGGTTGGACAAGCTTGGTGTACACCAAACCACTCATCGTCCCCTCCCTCCTCCACCCCCTTTCCTCCCTACCCCTCCACTCACCCCTCGCCCATCTTCTCTGCTTAACTGGCCTGGTTCTCAGCAATACCAGCTTTCTTCATGGTATGAAATTGCAGGGATTCCCACTTCACCTTCTCCTTCCAAGCCGTCACCAGATGACATCCCTTCTTTCTGTATTTTCTTCAGGTCCACCTCTTTCTTTGCTTTTCTTTCCATTACCCGAATCCAGTCTTTCTCCCAACTTCCTTCACCCAGTCTAATCTTCTGTAGGAAACATTTCTTCCATCTTCCCTTCAATCTACATTCTTTCCTCTGGCCTCCAAGATCTCTGGAATGTGGATCCTCTCAGCCCTCAGGCTGTCTCTGCTCTGGGACACAGACCCCTTGGCACATGAGACTTGTCTTCCTCTGTTTTCTACACACACACACACACACACACACACACGCACACACCAAGTCCCACCTCTCTGCCGTTGTCCATGCCACTGCCCCACCCTGTAGTGCCCTCATTCCTACTTAGCAAGCTTTCTAAACATCAAAACCTAGCTCAACATTTTTATTTTTATTTGTTTGTTTATTTATTTTGAGATGGAGTCTCGCTTTGTCACCCAGGCTGGAATGCAGTGGCACCATCTCGACTCACTGCATCCTCCACCTCCTGGGTTCAAGCGATTCTCCTGCCTCAGCCTTTCAAGTAGCTGGGACTACAGGTGTGTGCCAGCACGCCCAGCTAATTTTTGTGTTTTTAGTAAAGACGGAGTTTCTCCATGTGGAACTCCTGACTTCAAGAGAGCCTCCCAAAGTGCTGGGATTACAGGCATGAACCACTGTGCCCAGTCCCAGCCCAATTTTTACCTTTGATGAAGCTTTCTCTGAACTTTAGTATGGTAGTTTTCCAAACTATTTGTCTTCTTGTTCATGCTCTTATGTTTTAAATCCTAATTGTTTCTAGTAGATTGTAAACTCCTTTGGAATAATGTCAGTATGTAATACTTTGTTACTTATCCAAGCAGTACAGGACACTCAGAGTTGATTAGCTGATGTGGAATAGATATGTGTCCCAATTTGTGTTTGATTGTTTTCTTTCTTTTTTTGAGAGAGAGTCTTGCCCTATTGCCCAGGCTAGAGCACAGTGGCATGATCTGGGATCACTGCAGCTTCTGCCTCTCAGGCTCAAACGATCCTCCCACCTCAGCCTCCTGAATAGCTGGGACCACAGGCGCATGCCACCATGCCTGACTAATCTTGGTATTTTTTTGTAGATATGGGGTTTCATCATGTTGGCCAGGCTGGCCTTGAACTCCTGACCTCAAGTGATCTGCCCGCCTCAGCTTCCCAAAGTGCTGGGATTCCAGTTTTGCTGGTCTGATGTTTTGCATTCCCCCATAGCTTCCAGCCCAGTGAGCCTGATGGGTGAGCTGGTTTGTAGCGATGATGGCCCCATGGCATGGTACCTTCTCCCTGGGCATGTCTCCCACCCCTCCTTCCTGGGATCTCTTCTGTCTCCTGCTGTTCTTGGCCTCCTCTGACACCTTCTGTTCCTCCTCCTCTGCAGTCTGTCCCAGCAGCCCCAGAATGCCTATGCCCAGGATCACATCCAGGAGAAGCAGTGCCAGCCAACCCCTAGAGTGGGGAGAAGGGGAGAAGCCCCCTCCCTGTGCATATGCCCTAGGATCCATCTACACCCAAGGACAGCCTGGCCCAAGAGGCACTTCCTCAGCCTGCAGCTGTCAGCAGAGCCCACTCCTGGACTGCAGCAGATGGATGCCTTCCTGGGCTCCAGAGCCAACTCAGGAAACTGGCATGGGGGCCCAGTGACTGGGCCTCTTTGATGCCACTAGGCCCCAAGGGAACATGCGGTTGGGAATTGGTAAAGTGTTCTGTGTGCCGGGGTGGGAGTGGGTGCAGAGAAAAGGCCAGAAGGCGGCCGGGCATGGTGGCTCACGCCTGTAATCCCAGCACTTTGGGAGACCGAGGCAGGTGGATCACCTGAGGTCAGGAGTTCGAGAGCAGCCTGGCCAAAATGGTGAAACCCCATCTCCACTAAAAATACAAAAAAATTAGCTGGGCATGGTGGCAGGCACCTGTAATCCCAGTTACTTGAGAGGCTGAGGCAGGAGAATCACTTGAACCCAGGAGGTGGAGGTTGTGGTGAGCTGAGATCTCACCATTGCACTCCAGCCTGAGCAACAAGAGCAAGACTCCGTCTCAAAAAAAAAAAAAGAAAGAAAGAAAGAAAGAAAAAGAAAAAAAGAAGAGAGAAAAGAAAAGAAAGAAAAGAAAAGGCCAGAAAGCAGAAAGGCTGGACCTCAGGAGGCTCCAGGTGCCCTGTGGTCCAGGGACTGCTAAGCCTCTCAATGCCAAGAAAGCCCTGATTCTCGCATGATTGTGACTTCATTTCGTAGCTTTACTTGAGTAAACTCAGAATGACCACAAACTCGTGTTTTATCTTCGTATCTTTATTTGCAAGTAGAGCATTTGCTTTACACATAGTTACAAAGTCAACACGTGCAGAAGGTAGAGCAAACCTGTTTACCATCCTGCTCTGGGGCTCCCAATTGCCTGTGCCAGAAGAAACCGCCATTACTGGGTTGTCAACAATGCTTTGAAATGAATTTGGTTTTGGGTTTTTTTGTTTGTTTGTTTATTTTCTTTTTCTTTTTCAGGGTCTTGCTCTGTCACGCAGGCTGGAGTGCAGTAGCGCAATCTTGGCTCACTGCTGCCTCGATCCCCTGGGCTCAGGCAATCCTCCCACTTCATACTCCTCAGTAGCTGGAACCACAGGCACCGTGCATCACCACACCCAGCTAATTAAAAAATATTATTTTGGACCGGGCGCAGTGGCTCACACCTGTAATCCCAGCACTTTGGGAGGCCAAGGTGGGTGGATCAGGAGGTCAGGAGATTGAGAGCATCCTGGATAACACAGTGAAACCCCGTCTCTACTAAAAATACAAAAAAATTAGCCAGGCATGGTGGCGGGTGCCTGTAGTCCCAGCTACTTGGGAGGCTGAGGCAGGAGAATTGCTTGAACCCAGGAGGCGGAGGTTGCAGTGAGCCGAGATGGTGCCACCACACTCCAGCCTGGGTGACAGAGCGAGACTCTGTCTCAAAAAATATATATATAAATAAAAAAAAATATATATATATTTTTTTTTGTAGAATCTGAGTCTCACTTTGTTACCCAGGCTGGTTTCAAACTCCTAGCTTCAAGTGATCCTCCCACCTCAGCCTTTCAAAGTGCTGGGATTATAGGTATGAGACACCATGCCCAGCCTGTATTTTATTAAGTACAAAATCAACTACACATATTTGGACAAGAGACCATATGTGTGGGAAGCACACTTTATGTTGAAACCACAGCCCCTAGAAGTTCTCAGATCTGAAACCTAATAGCTAATGTTAAGTGAGCACGTGGGAGCCACCAAGAGATATGGAGCAGGAGAGGGACATCAGGAATGGCCTGTGACAGGAAGATCCCTCGTGTCACCACTGAGGTAGGGTTAGAAAGGCACAGGGGTGAGTTGTGGAGACAACCCACAAATATGGCAAGAGAGAGGTGGGGCAGATGGGAAGGTTCTATCCCCAGTCCCGTCTTTGGGGTCTTCAGCCCTCAAGGCTGACAAATTGAAGGGAACACATGGAGTCCCTCCCTCCCCTGGGGTCTCTGGGAAGTCGCCCCAGGGGCCCAGCTGGTGCAAGGGCAATGGTCAGTGGGCCTGATGGAACCAAGTTAAGGGATGGGAGGCACCCCAACCTGAAGCCCAGTCCCTGCCGCCTCCCACCAGCCAGCCTCCTCTTCCCTGTCCCCTGCCTGTCTCCCCTTTGATCTCCTTATTGTGGCCAGCCTCTCCGGTGGGTTCATGTGGGGGCTGCCTGAGTTAATGAGTTCTCCGGGCGGCAGGGCCCACACGCTCTCCCACTGGGGTGAGGCCTTCACACCTCTGGGGCCTGTGTTTTGACAAGTGCCGGAGCTAGTGGCCTCTGCTCCCCTGGCCCGAGCCTACCCTCTGCCAAACGTGTAAGGCTGGGAAATGAGGCCTTGGGGCAGCCCCACAGGAGCAGAGGTGACAGAGCAAGCTGAGGCCAGCATGGGGGGCAGGCTGGACAGGGCAGCACCCTCTCAGGCTCAGGCCTGGACCTCAGCCTCCCCACTCTACCCAGCCCGCTTCTCACGCCAAACCTGGGTCCTGGGCACTGCCCGGCCCCCCTCCCAGCCCCAAGGCCCTCATTTCCCAGCCAGTCCCTCTGACATAGGAGTACTAATCAGAGGTGCTATGTAAATCGTCCCCTTGCAGACCCTAATCCTGTCCCTGCCGGAGCCAGAGGCCCCAGGAGAAGGAAGCGGCTCTCCTACTGCCAGCCTACTTAGCATCTCCTGGGAAGCTCCTAATTTGGGTGTCCCCCACAGCCAAGGATCTTCCCGCCACACCTCTGCAGCAACCCTCTCAGGGGAGAGATTGTTAGTAGTGAAGCCTCCGCCTTCAGACAGCCCAGGACACTCCTCTGGAGTCTGGCCAATGTGGGCATGAGGCCCTGCCTTGCCATGCACTACCTGTGCCACTTGGGCACCTCGCTCTCCATCTCTGGCCTCAGTGTCTTGTCTGTTGCTGTGCCACAGGGTAATTCCTGCCTTCTGGGCTGAGCATGTGCGGATCAACTCAGGCTGCATGGAGCGTGCGTGCACACTACTGTCCCCCGAGGTCTGGCACTGGGCTGGAGCTTTGCAGGGTCGCTGCTCACACTCACAACACACTTTGATGTGGGTGTAGTGGCCCCCACTTTGTAGATGAGGAAACAGAGGCTCAGAGAGATTGTCCCACCTAACAGGGTGAGCAGGGGCTGAGCTGGCATCCATCTGTCTCTGTCAGAGGCCAAAGCCTCTGTTCTGTCCTCCCTATATCTCCCATGTCTCCTTCGGAGGATGAGTGGCTCCTTCCATCCTGGAGGGAGGTCCTAAGAGTGAAGGGGTTGGGGACCCCTCCGGTCACATTAAGCCTTGCTTCACATCACAGAGACTGAGAAGAAAAAGAGGCCGGGCACAGTAGCTCACGCCTGTAATCCCCACACTTTGTGAGGCTGAGGTGGGTGGATCACCTGAGGCCAGGAGTTCGAGACCAGCCTGGTCAACATGGAGAAACCCCATCTCTATAAAAATACAAAAAATTAGCCAGGCACGGTGGTGGGTGCCTGTAATCCCAGCTACTCGGGAGGCTGAGGCAGGAGAATTGCTTGAACCTGGGAGGTGGAGGCTGCAGTGAGCCGAGATCACACCCCTGCACTCCAACCTGGGCAACAAGAGTGAAACTGTCTCAAAAAAAACAAACAAACAAAGAAAAGGAAGAAGAAGAATAAAGAAGAAGAAGAAAGATGGAAGAAGGAAGAGGAAGAAGAAGAAAAGAAGAAGAAGAAGAGAGAAGAGAGAAGAAAGAAGAAAGAAGAGAGAAGAAGAAAGAAGAAGAAGAGCTTGCAGGCCCCATCTGGACTTCATGGACCAGATCCCTGGAGGATGCAGCCTGAGGATAAAAAATAAAATCTCCCTGAAATTATGCAGCGGTGCCCCACGGTGAACACCCCACCCCAATCAAAAGGTGGGAAAGGCCCTGGGGAGCACCCAGCCCCTGTGGGTCTCAGATCGTGAGGCCTGGAGGCCATGCTTGGGCTGAAGCCCAGAGAAGTCAGAGGGCCCAGCAAGGCGGGCTCACCTTCCCCCACCTGTGCTTCCTTTCCTATCAGCCTCCCGCTGAGGCTCCGCAGCTCCCAGGGCAGCCCCTTCCAAGGACGATCACTCCCTCCCCTCACACCTTCAGCTCTCGGAGCCACTGAGCTGGCAAGCCATATGGAATAGATTATTCTAGACCCACAATAATCTGATTATCTGGCTACAGATCAGCTGGGTGCTCAGCCAGTGGAAGTCGCAGGCAGCCCAGGGGTGACGAGGAGGGAGGGGGTGGGAGAGAGAGACTTGGCAGATTCCAGGAAAGGCTCAAGAGGAAGTGCCGCGTCTTGGTGGGTCTGGAGCTGGCTGACAATGCAGGGTAAGCAGATAGCACGTCTCTCCTAAGGGACGTAGCATTTATGCTCCTTCACTTTCTCCAGGGAAGTGCCAATGGGTCTCAGCCTTAGAGTGAAAAGTGGGGAAACTTGAGGTATAAAGAGAGGAGGCACACTTGTCACACAATGCCACCTGCAAAATGGAGCAGGGGCTCCCGACTGCCTGCTGAGATGTCCTGGGAGACACTGCCTGCCTTGGTGGGAAGGCCCCAGTCGGGACAGAGGGTTCACCCCTGGCTTTCCAGTGTCCACGCACTCCCAACCACAGCCAACAGAGGGCGCTGCCCAGCCGTGTGGGATCTTTGGGTCTGAGCTGGACAGCTCTTCCTCCAATCCTTAAGGACGTTTTTTGGGGCTAGGGCCAGAACCCAGGCTTGGCTCTATTTGGGGGTGCGCTGGGAACTGTGTAGATGTGTCAGGGATGCTGGGCTGGCTTAAGAAATAGATGAAGGCCGGTTCAGTGCCTGTGTGACAGGGCATGTGACCCCAGGCAGGCCGTTTGCCCTCTCTGGACACGTTTGCCCGTCTGTCCACCAGGAAAAGCACGCATCTGTGTGCAGAGACGTGGAGCAAGATGGGAGCCCATCAGAATGAGGAAAAGGATGACAGTTTCAGGAAGGCAGGAGCCAAGCAGAGTTCAACACCCCTCCCCAACACACACATGCCCCAGGTGCAGCTGAGGTAGAAAGAGGCCAGACCACAAGCTGACCGAAACTCGAAACTCTTGCCAGCTCTCGGGTGAGGGTTTGCAGACCTGGCTCAGCTGCCAACTTGGGTGTGCCCAGCCTGCTCAGGCCCTCCAGAAAAGCCCAAGATGGAGCTGTATCCAGGCAGGAAGTGGAGGCTTTGGGCCCTAAGTGCCCCCTCTCCCCTACTGACTGCCCGCAACAGTGGTGAGGTGCTGGGAGGGTGGCCAGCCCCGGGCAGAAGGATGAAGAGTGCAGGGCCGGCCCAGGTCACCAGCCTGGGACCTCATACGAGCTGCCTGGTTCAGGCCCTTGGCTAGCTCCGGGTGCTCCATCTGAGGTTAGGAGAATGCCCCCAAGGTATCTGACTTTAGACCCAGTAAAAAGCAGAGTGGGGCTCCCGGGGCCTAGCTGGAATGCCTGGGCAGGACCTGGGGAAGTGCAGCGCCAGTGGGCGGGGGTCCTTTGCCAGAGGCTGGGGATAGGGCATCCCTGGACAGGCTAGAGAACATTGAAGGGAAGGGGGAGAGAGCTTAAATTGGCCAGATGTGAAATAAAAAGAGGGGTCTTACATGATCTGTACTGACCACGTGCCAAAGACCGAGGACAAGAGGAACTCTATCCTCAGCTCCCAAGGCCCCTCACCAAGAGAAATCCACGATCCAGCGCTTGGCCTGAGCCAAGGAAGTTTTCTTCAGCCTTGTAGATTATGCTCCACCCCAGGCCCTGGGAGCACACAGGATGGCCAGGTGCCTTGGCCAAGGTGCCCCAGGTGTGTGGGCAGTGCTGCTGGCTGCCATTAACCAGGTCAGCCTCAACCATGCACCTCCTGGACTCGACAGGGCTGGGCTGAAGCTTCAGAACAGCCTCACCATGCCCTTTGCCCAGCCATTCCCCTGACAGCAATTCATCCTGATTGGAAAAGATTAAAAGTGCAAGTTTAGACAGACTGCTTAGTGACAAAATCAAGGTGCAGAAATTTCATTCAGTATGGCACCACTGATATAAGCAAAGGCAAAAGAAAATGAAATTTGAAAAACAGCCCGTCTACACAGAAAGTCATAGTATGATACCATGTATTCTGTAAGGGTCTATCGTATATATGTGTATATGTACATAGACAGAGGCCTTGGGTACACACCAAATATAGAAAAACATACCAGGACTTGTTTGGAGTGTGGGTGGGGGCAGGTCTGAGTTCTGGGGGCTGGTCAAGCTTGAATTTTGTCTTCAGTGTTTACATTTTTCACAAGAAGACTACATTCATGTATTACATGTGCAATTTAAAAATAAGTTCTGGTGTACAGCCACACCACCCTGAACGCGCCCAATCTTGTCTTATCTCAGAAGCTAAGTACTAGGATGGGAGACAGCCTGGGAATACCGAATCGTTTAGGTTTCTTTCTTCTTATTATTTTTTTATTATTTAAAATTAAAAAGGCTGGGCATGGTGGCTCACGCCTGTAATCCCAGCACTTTGGGAGGCCGAGGATCCGAGGCAGATCACTTGAGGTCAGGAGTTTGAGACCAGCCTGGCCAACATGGTGAAACTCCGTCTCTACTAAAAATACAAAAATTAGCCAGGTGTGGTGGTGCATGCCTGTAATCCCAGCTACTTGGGAGGCTGAGGCAGAATTGCTTGAACCCAAGAGGTGAAGGTTGCAGTAAGCCAAGATCATGCCATTGTAGTCCAGCCTGGGCAATAGAGTGAGACTCCATCTGAAAAAATAAACATTTTTTTAAAAAGTTAAAAAAATAGAAATAAGTTTTGGCCAGGCGCAGTGGTGCATACCTGTAATCCCAGCACTTTGGGAGGTGGAGGCGAATGGATTGCTTGAGCCCAGGAGTTTGAGACCAGCCTGGGCAACATGGTGAAACCCCGTCTCTACAAAAAAACTTTTTTTAAAAAAAATTAGCTGGGTGTGGTGGTGTGCACCTGTAGTCCCAGATACTTGGGAGGCTGAGGTGGGAGAATACCTTGAGCCTGGGAGGGCAAGGCTGCAGTGAGCTGAGATTACACCACTGCACTCCAGCCTGGATGACAGAGTGAGACCCCGTCTCAAAAATTAATAAATAATAAAAATTAAATTAAATTAAATTAAATTTTATTGCTGGGCATGGTGGTACATTACTGTAGTCTCAGCACTAGGGAGGCTGAGGTAGGAGGACAGCTTCGAGCCCAGTAGTTCGAGACCAGCCTGGGCAATGTAACATAGCAAGACCCAGTCTTAAAAAATAAATAAATAAAAATAGAAATAAATTTTAAAATATAGGCATAAGGATGTACTTATGTGGAAAACTTTATTAAGGGATCTCAGAATACATATTTTGTTAACTAAACTGTCACCACCACGTCACCAGTGGAGTACAGAGCATGCCTTAAAAATCTGGTTGCAGAAGTACATCTACTGGTATGGAGAATGTTCTCGATATATCAGTGAGAAAAGCTGGTCATGAAACAGCACACTATATACCCAGAGAAATTGAAAGCAGGGACTAGAACAGATATTTGTACACCAATGCATAGCTCTAGTTACAGTAGTCAAAAGGTCGAAACGACCCAAATGTTCATTGAAGGATGAATGGATAAACATAATATGGTCTATCCACACAATGGAATATCATTCAACCATAAAAGGGAGTGAAGTACTGATACATGCTACAATGTGGATGCACTGGAAAACCATTATGCTAAGTGAAAGAAGCCAGACACCAGAGGACAAAGATTGCATGATTCCACTTATATGAGGTACCAAGTACAGGCAAATTCAGAGACAGAAGCCGGTAAGAGGTTACCAAGGAATGAAGTGGGGAATAATGGAGTGTTATTGCTTAAGAGTTACAGAGTTTCCATTTAAGGTGATAAAACGTTTTAAAAATAGAAGTGGTCATAGTTGCACAACACTGTGAATGTAATTAATGCCACCGAATTGCAAACTTTAAAATGGCAGAGATGGCAAATTTATGTTATATATATTACTTTTTTTTTTTTTTTTTTTGAGATGGAGTCTCACTCTGTTGCCCAGGCTGGAGTGCAGTGGCGCAATCTTGGCTCATGGCAACCTCTGCCTTCCAGGTTCATGCGATTCTCCTGCCTCAGCCTCCTGAGTAACTGGAATCACAGGCATGCATCACCACAACTGGCTAATTTTTGTATTTTTAGTAGAGACAGGGTTTCGCCATGTTGGCCAGGCTGGTCTTGAACTCCTAACCTCAGGTGAATATTACAATTTTTAAATAATTAAAATGTAATATACAAAAACCTTGAATCGTACACTTTATTTATTTATTGAGACAGGATCTGGCTCTGTCACCCAGGCTGGAGTGCAGTGGCGCAGTCATGGCTCACTGCTGCCTTACCCTCCCAAGCTCAAGCAATCCTCCCACCTCAGCCACCCCAGTAGCTGGGACCACAGGCGTGCGTCACCACACCTGGCTAAGTTTTGCTTTTTTTGGTAGAGACAAGGTCTCGCCATGTTGCCTAGGATGTTCTCGAACTCCTGAACTCAAGTAATCCACCTTGGCCTCCCAAAGTGCTAGGATTACAGGCATGAGCCACCACGCCCGGCCAAATTGTATGGTATGTAATTCTATATCAAAAAAGCTGTTTAAAAAAAAAAAAGAGAAAAATAGGCCAGGCGTGGGCCTGGGATTACGCCAGTAATCCTAGCACTTTGGGAGGCCGAGGCAGGTGGATCATGAGGTCAGGAGATCGAGACTATCCTGGCTAACATGGTGAAACCTTGTCTCTACTAAAAATACAGAAAATTAGCCAGGTGTGGTGGGGGGCACCTGTAGTCCCAGCTACTCGGGAGGCTGAGGCAGGAGAATGGCGTGAACCCGGGAGGCAGAGCTTGCAGAGATTGCGCCACTGCACTCCAGCCTGGGTGACAGAGCAGTGAGACTCCGTCTCAAAAAAAAAAAAAAAAAGAGAAAAAAATATATATGTTAGAAGCTTCAAAAAACAGAAAAACAACCCCAGAAAGTGACATGCTGCCTCTCAATGCCTCTATCTCTATGTTCCTGTGCTGGTAGAGAGGCCTAAAAAAGGTTAAGATGCAATGACATGGGCCAAAGTGCTTCTCTCTGAGTTGATGGAACTGGGGGCCTTTTAAATTCCCTTCTTTTTGTATGTGTATATTCTCTCCCTTTTCTGTAATGAGGATGTGTTGCTTTGGTGAAAAAAAAGAAGGAAAGGAAAGAAAAGGAAGGGAAGGGGAAGAGGAAGGGGAAGAGGAAAGGGAAGGGAGGAGGAGGAAGAAGGAAGGAGAGAAAGGAGAGAAAAAGGAAAGAGGAGAGGAGAGGGGAGGGGAAGGGAGAAGAGGGGAGGGGAGGGGAGAAGAGAGGAGGGGAGGGGAGAAGAGGGGAGGGGAGGGGAGGAGAAAACACTTTGAACCCCCCTGCCCCGCTATCCATCTTGTTCACACTCCAATGGATAAGCCCAAGCCTGGAGACAAGTCCTGGGAGGCTGGGTCTTCCTTCCCAGAGCCTGCAGCCCCTGGAATGGGCACTGCCCTTTGTCCTCCCAAGAGCTGCAGGGCCTGGGGTGGTCCTCTCCAGCAGAGCAGGCAGGCAGGCAGGACTTGTGGAGTCCCAGGTGCCCAACATGTGGTCCTCCATCTAATCCTCCCAGCAAGGACATCCATTTCAGATGAGGAGACTGAGGCTTAGATGGGGAGCTGACCCCAGGCACTGTTGGCCCTAGGCCTGAGCTGCCTCCATGGGCCTTGCTGTCCCAGGAACTGGACCAGGTAGTCCTGGGACTCCCTGGCTCAGCCTTCTTGGAGGAAGAGCAGAGAGTGAGCTCTGTTGGGCAGCTCCCCATGCCTGTGGCTCCCAGCCCCTCCTTTACTTCCCCAGCCAACAGCAGCCAGTCCTTCCCCCTTTTCCACATTCTCTCCAGTGGCGGCTGGGCCCACTCCCAGGCCCCTGCCAGGCTGCAATCAGCCCTTGCCCTGAGATGAGCGCAGCCTCTGGACCAGTTTCCTGCCTCAGGATCTTTGCCTTCCAACCTCTCTCTTTCCTCAAACCTCGTGTGGATCTCACTGCCTCCCTGAGTCTGAACTCCTCACTCAGCAGGACCTCCCCACCCCGTCCAGTTCCCACCTGCTTGTCCACATCATCTCCTGCTTGTCCACATCATCTCCTGCTTATCCCTGCCAGCCTGAGGCACCAGCCCACTGGGCACTGCCAGCAAGCTCGCCCTGGGCATCCCTGTTTCCAGCCTTGGGCTCACACCTTTCCCTCTGCCAGGAACACCCACCCGCCATCACTTGGAGAAAATCCACAATCTCAGGTCCTTTCCTTCCCCCCAGAATCTGCCCTGATGGCCCCAGCAGGGAGCACCTCCCTGCCTTCCACAGGCACCCTGCACACCAGGCCACCACCGGACTCAGTGCCAACTTGTCAGTCCTTCTCCTTCCACTCCCAAGCGGGCAACTCGTCCTCCTGGAGGCTTAGTCCCAGCCAGGCAGTGTTCCCACTGGTGTTATGCACAGTCTTTGACTCAAAGCCAGATACCAGTGGGCTGGAGTCCTGGCTCCAGGGACCTTCAGCAAGTGATGTGACCTCTCTGGGGCCTGTTTCCTGAGCTGAGCCAGGGGAAAGCCGCAGGGTGCAGGGCACAGGGTTTGAGCAGAGCAGGCTCAGCAGGCACAGACTCGGCTTGTCTGTGGAAAGGGCTCAGAAGACGAGGTTGGCCTGACACGCAGTCGGGGCGAGTAGCAGTTCCAGTGGCTGCTCTGTGACCTTGCCCCAGTGGCTGTCAGTCTCTGGGCCTCCCAGTGACACCTCCCAGTGAGGTGCTCTGCTTGGCAGGGCCTCCATGGCTATGCCCATGTACCAGCCCCTGGGGCCAGCGGATGCTGACTTGGGCTCCCCAAGTGAGCGGTCCATCCAGACCCGAGTCCTCCCACACTCCTTCCATCCCTAGCCCAGGAACATAGGCCCTGGCCTTACCCTGGCCCCCTGGGGCTGGGACCTGCAGCCTCCCACCCCCCACCCCAGAAGCACTTTTTGGGGCTTCTGAGGGGACCTGCTGCTGGGCTGTTTTGGAGGCTCCTGCTCACCCTGGTTCCCAAGTCAACACCTTCTGCCCTGAGGGAGGCGGCCTTTGTGTCAACAGGCAGCCAGGAGGTGTGAAGGTAGCCACAGTGGCCCGGTGGGGGGGAGGCTGGGCTGGCCCTCTCTGCCTCGCTGGTAATGAGAATACCACACGGCCCTGCAGCTCCCTCAGGGCCCAGCACCCCCAATTCCCTTCCACATTCCCACAGCCTTCTCACCCCCTAGGGCCTGGAAGGGATCCAAGGGGAAGGAAAGGAGAGGAGACCCGTGGGTCAGGGCCAGACTTTAACCTGGCTCCAGGGCCTTGGACCTGCTCCCAGGGCCCTGCACTACCTACCCAGGGAGAAAGAGCAGGTGCAGAGCTCCTGTGCGCAGGGCTGTGGGCAGCCAGGTGGCTGCAGGGGCCTGTGCTAAGCCACCAAAGGCGGGCTGGACCAAGGGCATTGCCCTCTCTCACCCTGTAACAGGGCCAGGGCCGAATGAGCACATCTTGGGGGGCCAACCTGAGGCCTCTGCCCTCCCCACCCCACTGCTGGTTGGGGAGGAAGTGCTGGGAGGCCCATAAAGGGGTGGTGGGATGGAGGTCTCAAGATTCCTCACTGTCTAGAAGGAATACAGACGGGCATTACCTGCCTCAGGGCCAAGCTGGCCCATGCCACACAGGCAAGACCTGCACAAGATGATGGCAGCTTTGTGCTTCCAACCCTGAGAGCAGGCCTAGCCGAGCCACTGAGCTTCAGGCACCGACAAGAGTAGGTGTGCAGGTGGCCTGAGCTTGGGCACTTGGGAGGCCTCCCGCTGTGCTCCCCCTACTCAGGACACCCTGAGGACTCCCCTGTGTTCCTGCCCTGGGATTACCAGGAGTCCTGAAGCAGCAGCTCCTGTTCTCTCCCTAGTTGTTGGCCTGAGCTCTGAAACAACATCAGTGGTCATCAGGTCCAACCCCCTGTTTTACAGAGCTTGGCAGAGGCCGCAGCAGCCATCTGCTCCAGCTCCTGCACGTGCCTAACGTGTCGTCATCTGACCTTTTCTTGATTAGCTCCAGGAACAGGCCACTCCCTCCCCTACAAGACAGAGCCTCTGACTTAGAAAGTTCTTCAGACTCTCTCTGGAGCGTTCCCCTGGGTCCGTGCCTCTGCAGACAACCGTCACATCCCCTCCACTTTTTTCTTTTTGTACTCAATGCTCCCAGGTCCTCCAGCTATTTCACTGGTGACCTGGCTTCAAGCCCTCTCACCAGCCTCCCTAAGCTGGGATTTGTCCCCATCCCTCATGAACAGTGGCCTCCAGTTCTCACCACTTACTTCAGGTAGGGCCCATCCTGTCTGGAGAATAAGGAACCATCACCATCACTCCTCAGTTGAAGACCCCCCCTCAGTTGAAGACCCCCCCACCCCCGTCCCCACCCCTGCTTCTTGTGATTTTTTTTTTTTTTTTTTTTTGAGACAGTCTTGCTCAGCTGCCCAGGCTGGAGAGCAGTGGCGCGATCTCAGCTCACTGCAACCTCTGCCTCCTGGGTCCAAGGGATTATCCTGCCTCAGCCTCCCGAGTAGCTGGGACTACAGGTGCGCATCATCGTGCCTGGCTAGCTTTTTTGTATTTTTAATAGAGATGGGGTTTCGCCATGTTGGCCAGGCTGGTCTCAAACTCCTGGCCTCAAGTGATCCACCTGCCTCGGCCTCCCAAAGTGCTGGGATCACAGGCGTGAGCCACTGCGCCTGGCCTGCTTCTTGTGAATTTGCATGCAGCTTGGATCACATTTACTTTTATGCCCCTCATACTTTGAAGGCAATGACCACCATGCCCTCCCACATGTGCTGATTTTACAGGATGCCTCCTGACGTGAACTTGGAGAAGGGTACAGGGGACCTGCTCGTTCTATTTGATCAGGTCTGATGGGTTGTTCCAGCCTGTCAGGATTTATTTAGATACTGGCTGTTTCCCAAGTCACTTTTGGGTTTGGGTCTTACCCCACATTAGATCAGTTCATATCTTCATTCAAGATCATAATACTGCCCAGGAAAAGGCTGGGAACAGTGCCTGTGGCCCCTCACTAGAGACCTTCCTCCCAGTGAACATCCGCTCATTCATTTGTGGGAGCCCTGAATCTGTTGTGAATTCACTTAACTGAACCGTCATCCAGCTCACATGGCCCCATTGGTGATAAGGAAACTCTGGGAACTTCCCTATTATGTGGGTAGGAATTGTGTTTCGTTGCTCATAGTACCTCCTAAAATGACACTGACCTAAACAAGATGGTGATTTTTCTTTTTCTTTTCTTTCTTTTTTTTTTTTTTTTTTTTTTTAGCAGGGTGTATCACCATGCACAACACAAGATTACTAAAAGAAAAAGGCAAATAAAGGCTGTGTGGGCAACTAGCAGTGTCTGCCACACTTGTGAAACCCAAATACATTCTTCTGATCACGTTTCCCTGATCTAGCCACCATTCCTATCACAGAAAGGAAGATGTGAACCTGGTGCTACTAGCACACTGAAGCCCAGAATGTAATCACCTTACCCAATGGCACACAGCCACAGGCCCTCTTTTTAACAGGGGAACCAAATGAAGGGTGGAAACACTGAAAAGGGGCTGCAGGGTAGGATCCAAACCTGGCTTGTTTGCTCGGCACCTAGGGCAGGTTCCAGCACAGAGTAAATACGTGGCCCCACACCCATCCAGAAGTGGACCCCTTAAGGGCCCCAGGGCTGTAGGCAAGTTGGACAGGCATCCCTGCCAGGGCCCAACAGAAGAGAAAGGCTGGATATGGAGAGGTGGGGAGGGCAGGATGCCCTGGTTTGGTGTGGGAGCAGTTCCCAGAAAGCAAGGAATCACTTCCTTCTGGGACCAAGGCTGAAGATATCATTCCCCTTACTCACAGTCCAACCTATTCCTTTAATCACTTCTTTCTGCTGTTCCTGAACTTGCTGTAAGCATAACATCAGCCCTGTTCTAAACGTTATCACATGCATTATCTTATTTTACTTCAGTTATCCTGGAGATCAGAATACCCACTTATAGACGGGAAAACTGAGATTGAGTAAGTTGCCCAAGTTCTCCCAGCTGGTAAGAAACCAGGCCTGTCTCACTCTGCAGCCCAGACACCTGACCACTAAGCTGCACTGCCTCCCTGTGCTAAGTGGAGGCCCAGTTGGGGGATCCACTTGGGGTTCCCTCCTGGTGAGTGAGGCTAGCAGATAGAGTGCCCTTGTGCTTCCAGAGCCTAGCTGAGGAGTACAGGGAAGAGCCAGGGGCCACAACAAACCAGGCCCAGGGCCCCACCTTCCAGAACTTACACTGTAAAACCCACAGTCAGCCTAGGGTCTAGGCTCCAGGCTAGCTCAAACCAAGGTAGAAGGAGACCAGGCAATCTCCGAGAGGAAAGGATGTATGTACCATGTGCAGGGCTCTGTGCCTGTGGTGGAATCCCATTATATACCAAATCCCTCCACAAGAAATCCCTCAGGCTGGCTCTAAGGAGGTTGGGGGGAAATAATTCTGGATATTCAGAAGCTTCCTGGAGATCACAAGACCATCCACCACTGTATTCCTAGCTGTTTATGCACAAAGCAGCACTGCTGGGCAAAAACTAAAAATACAATAAAGGTGCATCAGTAAGTGGCTGTGCATGCCATGGACTACCATATAGCAGTTAAAAGGCATGAGTCATGCCTGTAATCCCAGCACTTTGGGAGGCCAAGGCAGGCAGATTGCATGAGGTCAGGAGTTCGAGTCCAGCCTGGCCAACATGGTGAAACCCTGTCTCTACTAAAAATACAAAAATTAGCCGGGCACGGTGGCACATGCCTGTAGTCCCAGCTACTTGGAAGGCTGAGGCACAAGAATCGCTTGAACCTGGGAGGCGGAGGTTATAGTGAGCTGAGATCACACCACTGTACTCCAGCCTGGACAAAACAGAGAGAGTGTCTCAAAAAATAAAAAAATAAACAAAAATAAAGGTGTGAGTCAGAAACATCAATAGAAGCCAGGCGTGGTGGCTCACACCTGTAAACCTAGCACTTTGGGAGGCCGAGGCAGGTGGATCACCTGAGGTCAGGAGTTCAAAACCAGCCTGGCCAACATGGTGAAACCCTGTCTCTACTAAAAATACAAAAAATTAGCCAGGTGTGGTGGCAGGCATCTGTAATCCCACGTATTTGGGAAGCTGAGGCAGGAGAAATCGCTTGAACCTAGGAGGCGGAGGTTGCAGTGCGCTGAGATCATGCCATTGCACTCCAGCCTGGGCAACAAGAGCGAAACTTCATCTCAAAAAAAATAAATAAATAATAAAGAAACACCAATAGAAACAGCACCTGCTCTATCTGAAATGCAGCACCTAGATCAAGACATATCTATGAAGCCTGATGAATTTTGTTTATAACTGTTGAATGGATACATGCAAGTTCCCTGATAGACAGTATGTCAAGAGCTTTATAGTGTTGTGTGGCCTCGGACCAATAAATGATGTACCTACACTACATGTGCCATTATTTCAACCCAAAAAGTCTAGGGGTGAATGTTTTACAAGTTGTCCCTTATTTCCCCTTAGGAAATAGTTGTTTTTTGTTGTTGTTTTTTTTAAATTTTGGTTTAAACCCTTTTAAGCCATGAAATGTTCCATAACTAACTGCTTCTCTCCAAAGAAAGCCTGTTTGAAATCTATCCCACCTTCTTTTCATGTTATGGACCAATTAAAATTTTCTCTTCTTTATTCATAGCAGCTAGAATAAACTAAACGATAGTTGTTTGCCCAGAGTTATTCAACACCAAGTGTTACTTCATCATAACGTTAGAGCAGTGACTTGGGCATATTTTCTCCGATATATTTCAAAATAAATTCTGAGGAGAAAAAGTGACATAATTTCATTATTGAAGGTGTATCCGTACCTTCTGCCATTTTACCTTTTTTCCAAAGTTAAAATTATTTACATGGGCTGCGTACAGTGACTCATACCTGTAATCCCAGCACTTTGGGAGGCCGAGGCGAATGGATTGCTTGAGCCCAGCAGTATGAGACCTGCCTAGGCAACATGGTGAAACTCTGTCTCTACAAAAAGTACAAATTTTAGCCGGAGTGATGGTGCACATCTGTAGTCCCAGCTACTCCGGAGGCTGAGGTGGGAAGATTACCTGAGCCCGGGAGGTGGTGGCTGCAGTGAGCGGTGACTGCCCCACTGCACTCCAGCCTGGGTGACAGAGTGAAACCCTGTCTAAAGAAAAAAATTATTTAAAGAGATAAACATTTAAAACATTTAGATCAACTATAACCAAGGTTTTGGTTAAATCTGTATTCGCAGGCAGTACTTTTTTTTTTTTTTTTTTTTTGAGACAGGGTGTTGCTCTGTGGCCAGACTGGAGCACAGTGGTACGATCATAGCTCACTGCAACCTCAAACTCCTGGGTTCAGGGGATCCTCCTGCCTCAGCCTCCCAAGTAGCTGGGACTACAGGGCCCACCCCACCATGCCTGGCTAATTTTTTTTTTTCTTAGATGCGGGGTCTGACTATGTTGCCCAGGCTGGTCTTGAACTCCTGGGCTCAAGCCAACCTCTCACCTCAGCCTTCCAAAGTGCTGGGATTATCCCCACTAAAAATTTGATCCATTATTTTTTTAAAGGGTGAGTCAGCAAAATATGTCCTGACATGGAATGCTCTGAAACATGCTGTTGAATGAAAAAAAAAAAAAAGAAAAAGAAAAAGAAAAGAAGAAAAACAAATTACAAGCTGACATTTACACATAACAATGTACATAATGTAACTGGAGGGTTACTGTGTGTTTGCTAAGGATACACGTTTATGTTAACCCACTGGCCAGGTCTGGAACTACACACACAGCCTAATAACAGCTGTTACCTTTTGGGGGTTTATGGGGTTGGTTAAAGAGACTCCAACTTTATCTGTAATGTTTCCATTTCTCACAGTGAAAGGTAGTAGTTACATAATTTGTGTAATTAAAAGTTAATTTTTGAAAATAGCCACGCCCTCCCTCAAAAAAAAAGAAAGAAACAAAAAAAAAGATTAGCCAGTCATAGTGGTATGCGCCTGTAGTCCCAGCTACTTGAGAGGCTGAGGCAGGAGGATCACTTGAACACAGTTTTAGGGTACAGTGAGCCAAGATTGCATCACTGCACTCCAGCCTGGGCAACAGAGTGAGACCCTGTCTCTAAAATTAAAATAAATGAAGCCTGGGCACAGTGGCTCACGCCTGTAATAACAGCATTTTGGGAGGCTGAGGCAGGCGATCACTTGAGGCCAGGAGTTCGAGACCAGCCTAGCCAACATGGCGAAACCCCATCTCTACTAAAAATACAAAAATTAGCCAGGCATGGTGGCGTGCACCTGTGGTCCCAGCTACTCAGGAGGCTGAAGCAGGAGGATTCCTTGAGCCTGGGAGGCGGAGGTTGCAGTGAGCTGTCACTGCACTCCAACCTGGGCGACAGACCCTGTCTCAAAAATAAAACAAATAATAAAATAAAATAAAATAAAATAAAATCAGCCACAAAAATATTACAAGGCAGCTGGGCCTGGTGGCTCATGCCTGTAATCCCAGCACTTTGGGAGGCTGAGGAGGGCAAATCACTTGAGCCCAGGAGTTCAAGACCAGCCTGGGTAAAACCCAACTCCACAAAAAATGATAATAATGATTAAATAATTACGAAGCCATTTGCTACTTCAGGCTGCTGCAGGTTAATCTCTTCTTGAACACCATTGTCATGTTGATCTTTAGTTAGTTATTAGCTAATGATTTTTAAAATTGTATCACCCTTCCGCTCAAAAGTCCCTATGGCTCCCAAAACCAACTCCTTAACCTGGCCCCAGCCCAGGTGTGCTCTGGCCTTCCACATCACCACCCCAGTGCCCTGCTCCTAAGGCATCTTGGAAGGTCCCAAGGCCAGGTCTTTGCTTATGCAGTTCCCATCCGGAAAGCACGGCACCTGCCTCTCTCCCTACTCAAATCCTACGCATGGTTCAAGGCCCAGCTATGACTTCTTCACCTCTGTGGCCAGAACCCTAATGTCCCTGGTCTTCTTTTGACTCTTAGCCTCAGGACTCAGCCCTTTCCCCAAGACCACACAGGACATTGACAATCTCCTTTAAACTGTAATTGTTGCTGAGAATATCATTTACTTTATAAATTTTACTATCTCAACTATCCCTTACACAATCCCATGTAGATACTATCATTATTCCTGTTTTACTGAGCAGAAGC